>NC_000010.11:83476428-83627943 GCF_000001405.40 Homo sapiens | reverse complement strand
TTGGTTACTGTAGCCTTGTAGTATAGTTTGAAGTCAGGTAGCGTGATGCCTCCAGCTTTGTTCTTTTGGCTTAGGATTGACTTGGCGATGCAGGCTATTTTTTGGTTCCATATGAACTTTAGTTTTTTCCAATTCTGTGAAGAAAGTCATTGGTAGCTTGATGGGGATGGCATTGAATCTATAAATTACCTTGGGGAGTATGGCCATTTTCACGATATTGATTCTTCCTACCCATGAGCATGGAATGTTCTTCCATTTGTTTGTATCCTCTTTTATTTCATTGAGCAGTGGTTTGTAGTTCTTGAAGAGGTCCTTCACGTCTCTTGTAAGTTGGATTCCTAGGTATTTTATTCTCTTTGAAGCAATTGTGAATGGGAGGAAAAGAGAACTAATAAATATTTTAAAAATTGTTTTTTACTTGGTATCAAAGCAAGCATATCAATAGAAGTGGGATCTTATTATTTTGTATATGTAATTAGCAAATTTAAAATCCAATAATTTTTTACTCAACAAGGCGTCGCTAAAATGTGTATTTCCTGCTCTCTTAGTATAATTGCAATGGTCCAGACTTTCTTGTAAGCAGTTTGACGACATGCAGTACATGTCTTTGAATTGTTTATGCTAATTGATGCAATCTAAGGATGTTTTTAGCATCTGAAACAAAGATTGATGACCAAAGATATTCATGTCTGGCATTTGTATACTATATCATGTATTTTCATTATCACAAAATAATTACTATAAAGAATACAAAACAAATCATGAAATGTATACATACATATATATAATGCTATGTTGTTTTTATATTAAAAGTGATACTTGAAAGAATATTTTCTAACATGGGCTAATTCACATTATATATTTGAAAAGACAAAATACAAAACTACTTATAAAGTGTTATACCAACTTTAAAAACATAAGCAGAGAAAAAGACTTAAATGAAACATATTTGTGATGTTAATATTGGTTTCTTCAAGGAATTAAGCTACTGTTAACTTAGCTTTCTTTTCTCTATTTCTTAAATCCTGTTCTTCATCCTGGAAAGGTAAGAAGAGTGTATACCTTGGAAGCCTTGTGCAAGGAGATGCCCGTAGAATATGTCTGGAAATATATCAGGAATGTCTCCTTAATTCTTTGCTTTTCAGTGTCTGGCAGGTCCTGAATTTGCCATGCATCCTAAATGCGAGGATTATACTTTTGTCCTGTGTTGATCCCTGCTTGATGGGGCATCCTGTCTACTTCATGGCAGTGTATCACCTAGGGTCGGAGCTTGTCCCCATAGTTTCAGTTGACACAATCCTGCTTATTATGGATAAGTTCCTTAAGACTGGGGATAGCCCCACAAAGTGGTCTGCTATCTTCATTTGCTGCTTCAGAGTGATTGTGTAATTGGGGGATGGGAGTTGTTGTGTCATATATCTTCCTGGATTTTAATTTTCATATATCTAAAGTGAATATTTTGGGAGACGTTTCAGGGCATTGAAAAGTGTAGTGAACTGTGAGGTAATAAAAATGGGGCGGGACTGTATTACAAAAAAACTTCTTTGTGTCACACATAATACTAAGGCTTTTTAATTTGAGGTGATAATCCTGCTAATAGGTATTATGTCCATAGAGAACACTGCACTTTTCATATGAGCTGTCATTCAATGATCATTGTAACCCTGGAGGTAAATGCTAGTTTCCCAAATTGCTTCTCAGTCCCCTAATGGCAGAATCTATTTCGTAATTATCTGTATCTCTATCACCCGGCTAATGCTTAGCCCTAAGTATCTGTGAAAAGTCCCAGGGATAGTAAGTGACAGGCTGTAAATTTAATGGTAGTCTGTATAATTTCGAAAGTAGAATGTTTAGACTTTTCTGTTTGGCCAAGGGGAAGTCATTTCTCAAAAACTACCTCCTCATTGAAGAGCAAAGGACACTGGCTTTCTAACCTAATTGTGAATTAAAATCTGAGATCTCGCCACCAACTGGATGAGTTGGAGTTCTTAGGCGGTGGAATGAAGACAAGCAGAGGAAGGAGATCAAAGGTCTGAACTTTTAAAACCTTCCCTGGTGAGGTGGGAGCAGCTGATGAAACCACTGGCAGGCAAACCTCCTTGCACTTAACTGCAAAGTGCTCTGATTTGGTGATCTGAAGGAAGACCTTCTGCTATAATTGACACATAACCAGATGGAAAATAGTATCTATGTGATTTCAGGAAAATGTAGGGACACATTTTACCTTTAGAGTTGTGCTGTATAATACAAATAGAATATGTGCCACATATGTAATTGTAAATTTTCTAGTAGCCACATTAAAAAGGTGAAAATAAAAAAGCAGGTGAAATAATTATTTTTAATAGCATATTTTATTTAACTCAATACATCTAAAATTTTATCATTTCAGCATGTAGTTGGTATAAAAAATATTAATGAACAATTTAACATTTTTTTCAGAGGAAGTCTTTGGAATCTGGTGTGTGTTTGACACGGTGCATCTCACTTTGAACTAGGCACATTTTGGGTGCTCCCACGTGGCAAGTGGCTCCTGTATTGTATGGTACAGATCCAGATTCCATGCTTTGCTCTTGAAATCTAAAGCCTGGGGCTCAGACTTGCTTGGGAACACAATATAATTTGGGCTGTGCAAAAGGCCTCTATGGATGATGTACATTTTTGTGCTTTTAAACTTTGAAGTTCAAAAAGCTTTTTCATATACACTACGTCATTTAATCATCAGTCATCTAATCAACCATCAACTAAGTTGTATTAGTTTCCTGGGGCTGCTGTAAAAAAGTTCCACAAACTGAATTGCTTAAACAACAGCAATATAGTGTCTCGTAGTTCTGGAGGTCAGGAGTCTAAGATCAAGGTGTTCACAGAGCCATCCTTTCTCTGAAGGTATAAATTCCATCCCACGCTCCAATCAAACAATCACTCTGGAGTAGGAGATAGAGACTTGCTTCAGGTCTCTCTCCTAGCTTCTGGTAGTTTCTTGGCTTGTGGCAGCATGATTGTTATCTGCAAGTGGTGTTTTTGCTGTATGTGTGTCTGTGTCCAAATTTTCCTGTGCTATAAGGACAATAGCCATATTGGATTAGGGGCCTACCCCACCCCAGTATAATCTCATCTTAACCTAACTAATTACGTCTACTGAAAACCTATTACCAAATAAGGCACATTCTGAAGTACTGGGGTCCGAACTTAAACATGTGAATTTTGAAGGAACACATTCAACCCATAACACAGGCTTGAAGAAGCAATCACCAATTACTCTGCCTTAGTCTGACTGATTTTGCGCTACTAGCTGCACATGGTGTGTGTGTCCATGTACATCTGGGTCTGAGTTTGTGTATATATATTTCTTCTCATTTTCTCGGGGACCTTCTCATGACTACAGCTTCTATGCATTCTTCAGCACATAGTAGGCACTGAATACATGTTTGCTGAAAAACAGAATGAAAAAGCAGATTTGTGGCAAACTAAGACCCATGCTTGTGGTGCTATTACCACATTAGGGAGGTGTGTACCTTTTATGACATGTCTTTGCTTTGGCTGGAATCCCCTGTTTTCAGTGCTTTATAACATTTATTATAAATTCCATCTGGATGGAAACTTGGCTAAGCTTCTTGACCTTGAGCTTTTAATTGATAGTATGCTTATTGGAGAATGCAAAATATGAGTTCTAGTCTTTGTGATGCTCTTTTATGCCCGTATAATTTACAAATAGTGATGCCACAAAAGGCTCTTTCTGACTTCGTTATCAGTTTTTACAGAAATAAAATATAGATGCCCTAATGATAGACCTATAAAGTAAAAGCCAGACAGAGTAAAGCTGTGTGGTGGCAGTGTCTTGAACAACCAGTTGTCTTATTGTGGAAATGTGTTTTTTCAGGTACTCCTAACGAGAGCTTGCCTCCTGCCACAGGCTAAGCTAAAGACAGTTCACATCTACCTTCACAGGGCCTCTTTCTCATAAAGGGGATGCAGGCCACCCTCGAGCTGAGCACCACCTGTTTGTCCATATATATACTTCCAAATCTCAATCCAGCTGCTTGGATTTTATTTCAGATTCTACAGTGCGGATTACACATTACTGGTGTTAGAGATGCTAATGTGTGTTTTGTGAGTTTACTATATAATGTATCTAAATTCATCTGTTTATTGAACTAATGTTTGTTGAGTACCTGTTGTGTGCTCAGTGCTGGGGTATACACACATAAATGAGACTATATGTCTGTCCTTGAAGACTCACAGTCTAATCAGTGAGAGATAGTGGACATAAACAGTTCACACTGCAATGAGGAGAGGTCAATAGTACAGTTAGGACAGGACACTTAGAGGACACAGAGAAGGAATTTTTCACTGTGAGCATTAAGTGAGGTGGAAGGCAACTCATCCTAGCTCTACATGAATTTCATACAGAGTAAGCTCACTGCTTTTTGCAAATGTTGGAAAATTAGTAAAGATTAACACGTTCTGTGAAGAGGGAGCTGCAACAACAACAATAACAAAAAAGAAAAGGAAAAAAGATTAACATGAAGCAGAAAGTACCACAGAAAAATAATAATGACTTTTCTTGGATCTAATGGTGCACATTGAGAAAGCACTCTTTAAACCACATGTAATGGCTTCCCAGTAACTGAGCCAGACCCTGTGTGGGCCAAACAGCTCCCATGTTGACATCTAGAAGTCCCTCCTGCTTTCTCTCTTCTTCGTCATGAAAATGATAACCAATGTGTGCATGCTGTACACTGAACTTTAAAGCAATTTTCTGATTTTCTCATGTAATCTTCATGACCCTATGTTGTTGTTGTTGTTGTTCCATATTCATCCTACAGACCAGAAAACTGAAGCTTGGGGAGATTACAAGACTTACCCAATATCATGTGGTGTTTTGTAGTTGTATTTGCCATCTTTCTTGCTTTTGAAAATGATAGAAATCAAAATTGTAATTACCCTAAACAGACTAGACAACTTATTGGTCAATTATCTAGAGAATGCAAGGGTAGATGTGGTGGTAGGATTGGAAACAGGGGTGACAATGGCATTGGAATTTTCTCCACACTGAATCTGTCACTTTATAAATGTTGGCTTCATTTTCTCAAGTAAGTCTCTGTGTGTGGTAGTGTACCCTTTCCCTGGCAATTTCAAGGGCACGTTCTAGTAGATTTACTGGTAGGAAGTCACAGGAGTCTTTCCAACCACTGTCAGATACAAAATCCCACAGGAGGACTCTGATTGGCTCATTTTGGGTAAGCCCACAGGTAACCTCTCACTACAAATGGGCCAAGGGTCACCATCAACAAAGCCATGTGTTTTGAAGCATTTCTTGAAGGAAAGATGATGTTGTTTAAGGTAGTAAGAGTAACCAAAGTTTACCACAATGGTGAAGTTGGAACTGAAATCCATACTTTATGACTCCACATGTTCTGACATTCAGAATGCCATAGTAATTTTCAAGTTGTATATCTAAAGGACTTTCTGTCACTTGCACTTGGATGTTTCGCAGGTACCTTGAACTCAACTGATGTCAGAGCCAACTTGCCCTGTGCTGCCATAGCCTCCAGCCCCATGCCCACCTGGTCTTCATCCAGTTTTGTTATATCACTGACAGTTGCTCCAGGGCTGCATTATGACTTCCACGGGCCCTGGGCACTTTTGTTTCCTCCATAAGAATATTAAAAGTTATATTTTATTGCATTGGTATAAAGAAGAATATATTAATATTATATGTTTAAGCATTGTCTTTGCTAAAGTTCATTTTGCTCTTTGGATTAAAAGAAAATCAAAAAATTTCTTGACAACCCCTCTAAAAATTCTGTGGGCCCCAGGCACCGTGTCTGCTGAGCCTAATGAGTAAGTTGACCCTGAATTGGTCTGAATGGGACTGAATCACGCAAGATACAAATTAGAGATTTATCTTTAACATTTTCTCACCCCATCCCCACATCTTAATCACCATCTGTCATCAAATTTACAACCTAATTTTCTTCCCAACTCCAAATCCTCTTTATTATTATTTTTTTCTATCTTCACTTTCACCCTCCATGCTCTTGCCTCTTGACTGGTTTCCTCACATGCACTGTTACATTTCTCTAAGCTATTATCATTAGTACAGCCACAATTATATTTTAAAAACAAATCTATGGCTAAAACCCTTCGAGTGCTTCTCCTTCTTCTTGGGACAATGAAAAAAAATAACCTTAACATAACCTGTAAGTTCTTGGAACAGCCAGTCCCTGCCTGCCTCATTAAACTGATCCCACAGGACTCTGGTTCACTTTTCCTGCCTTGGCCACATTGAGCTTCCCTCAGTCCTTTGAATGCAGCTTTAGCCTTTGCATCTCAGGACCTTGAAGTGTATTCTTTCCTCTGGAATGCCCTTTCTTCTTCGAGACACGTCACATTAATTACCAATAATTCCTTACATCTTGCCTCAAGTGTCACTTTATCGGGGAATCCTTCCCTAAACTACCTCACACAGCTTAGATCAAATAATATGTTTCCTTGGCAAACTGTATTTCTTATTTGTAGTGCTTTTCAAAATTGTAATTAAATATCTAATTATATAAATAATAATTTAATGTCCATCTCACCCACCAGAGGGTAAGTTTCATATCTAATTTCTTTATCATTGCATCCCCATTGTGCCATCTACACAAGACCTCAAAATCTGTTGATTGAATGAATGAATTAAAAATGTGCTGTTATATCCACAAATATTTCATATTTTTAAATTCACAACAAAGGTTTTTTGAGGCCTACCCAATGCCAGGGACTCTAGTAGGCTCTGAAGACATAAGACATTCAAATCATTCTCCGTATGGAGTTTTCTTCTACATGGTGAGACATGTAAAAATTAGGTCAATAACAAATTAGTTACATTCTCTCTAGTTGTATTTAGTGTTCTAAAGGAATGAGCAGAATGCTGACTTAGCCTTTGAAAACTGCCTAATCTTAGATGCTAGAACAACATGGTTCTTAACTTTGGGAACAGTTTTTTTTTTTTTCTCTGCCTTGAATTCACTGTGAGATGTGCAGAGCATAGAAGGGTTGAGGATTCTGTGGGCTCACTCTGTTGCCTACATTGACTCATACCTGCTGATTAGGACACTTAGTTGCACTGAAAAAAAGGCCAGGTGGGAGTTTGAAGCTTTTTAATATTTATACTGATATTCTTCTGTTTTGTTGTTTTAGATTTTACCCTGATGGTGATTTAGCACTGATTGGGTTAGGCGGTTATTGAGAATGAAGCTCTGGAAAAGATAAATTGGATTCCTAAAAACAAATACAAGTATTGATAAATATATTACATGGTAAAACTAGTATGGAAAGTCAACAACTGACATGCTCTTTATTACTGATAGCATGGGCCTATCATCTCCCAGAACTTATAAACCAGAAAGTATCTATATATACTATACATATGTTTGGGAAATTGGGTACAATCACAGGAACATGAGCCAGTCCAAAAACTTTTGATGGTGAATGAACAAGTACACAGGGAAATTTATTAATACTGGCCTCTCATGTAATAGTGACCATTCTTTATTTTATATACTGATTTATGGCATAAAGCATTGAATTAAAACCTTATTTTATGGTTGATGCGTCAGAGACTCAATGAAATGTAATTTGCCTAATACTGCAAAATCTTAGTGATGCTACTTAGTCTAGGGATTGACTAGATATTGTAATGTTCCTGCTTTAACACATTGCTTTGCCTCTTCCTTTATCAATTGACTCACAATCAACTCTTAACTAATTTGCACATGTGCTGAGCACATTGTAGTTTGAATAGACCAAACCATTTATCACAAAATTATGTTATACTTACTTACTAGCATACCTCCTTTTCCTCGCTGTCAATTCCTCTGTGTTCAGAACTTTACATAATAATAACAGTCTGAGACAAACAAGAGTAGGAAAATAAGTAGGTGAAAAATATCTCCACTCAAGTACCGAGGCAGACCTATCATGTGCCATAAGATGGAGAGCCAAACATAATCAGTGAACATCCTTAAAACTATCACAGAGAAGCAAGGTTTTTGCAGTGAAGAGTTTATTCTTTAGAGTTAGAAAGAATTAGAAATGTAACCACTACTTATTTTGTTTGATGACCTTGGACAATTTAATTTACTACTTTAAGTCTTGTGTGTTTCTCCTTTAAACATGAGATAATAAAACCTACTAGCATAGTCATTGTGTGAGTTTATTCTTCTCTATCCAAAAGCTGCTTGGAGGGGAAATGGGAATCTGCAGCATTGCCTCTTCACTCATCCATCCCCCCCTAATTTCCTTTGCAAAAAGGTAGCCATTTATAAAATGATCACTTAGCTCGTGAGATAATTATTGGGCCAGGAAGAAATCAGTGTGCACTAAAATGCCCTAGAGTGTATTTCAGCATATTTGCCACTGCACAGAGCTCGTTGGAGAATGGTACCATTCCAAGATGCAGATACAGGATTCAGAGATGTGGGACTCAGAAGCTTAGGCTCAGAACCTAAACCCTAGGCTCCAACCCAGATTCACTAAATTGTCCTGCATTGCAGCATTAGTCACTGCCCAGCTTTTAATAATGTGATGCTTTTTCACATTTTCCCATCTGTAAAATATGAATAATAATAGTACAATAGTTTCCTCTTATCTGCAGTTTTACTTTCCATGATTTCAGTTACCTGTGGTCAACTGTGTTCCAAAAATATTAAATATAAAATTCCAGAAATGAACAATCCAAAAGTTTTAAATTGCAGGCCATTCTGATGAACTCTCATGCCATCCAGAGGGACATGAATCCTCCATTTTTCCAGCATGTCCACATGGCATATTCCACCCACCCGAGTCATTTAGTGACCTTCTTTGGTTATCAGATCAACTGTCACAGTGTTGCAGTACTTAAGTTGAAGTAATGTTTATTTTACTTTAAAATGATCCCAAAGTACAAGAGTAGTGGTACTGGCATACTTTTGTAATTGTCCTGTTTTATTATTAGTTATTGTTGTTCATCTCTTACTGTGCTTAATTTATAAATTAAGCTTTATTATAGGTATGTATGTACAGGAAGAAAAAAACGTCTAGTATCCTTGGTTTCAGGTACTCACTAGGGGTCTTGGAATGTATCCCCTGTGGATAAAGGGGGAGTATTGTAACTGTATCAAAAGTAGCTGTTGGATAAACTGAGTTAAAGCAGGTAAGAGGCCTAAAGGAATGCCTGACTAGAGTCAGTGCTCAATAAGCATAGACTGAATGAACTATCTTATGAAGCGGATTATTACAATTCCTGTTTTAAAGATGAGGACACTGGAAGCCAGAGAGATTTTGTCACCAGTAGAAGGTACTAGAGCCAGCATTTGAACAGGGCCAAGTGACTATAAATTGCATTAGCAAATGTTATGCACTTTTGAATAGGGAGGGTACAGAAAAAATAGGCTTTTGAACATTTCCTTCCTCAATTCTCTGTTGCACAAATAAGAGGGGAGAAAAGGGGTGGCTTAACTTTCAGTAGCACAGTGTGGCACATGCAGATTCATTTCTACATTCCGGTGAAATCAGTTGTCAAAAGACACAAAGAATTGAATGGGATTTAGAGTGAAAACTGAGCCTGAAAGACTGGTAATGTTTATCTCTTATCTAGATAGTCACTGGCTGTTTCTCCCCAACTCCAGTTATATCAATAAAACAGTTAATTTGCTCTTCTTTGAAAGTGAGGAGGAGGAAATGAGTTTGGGAGCTTAAGAATTATGAAAGAAGCTACTAAGCCACTGTGGAGAGAAATCAAAGATTGCTTGGAATTTTGCAGAACATCCATGTCATCATTCATTGTGCAGACTCCAGTGAAAGGAAAAACATATAAAGAGGGACAAGAGAGAAAAGATGAGGGTGTGTGTGGGGGGGTGGAGAGAGAGAGAGAGATTATGCAAAAAAGCCGTAAAATGTTGTTATGAAAACCTGCTTCCATTTCAGGAAAATGCATCAGATAAAAGATAAGCACTGAAGAGAATCTAAGCTCCGTGTTTTCATTTTGTGTCCAGGGTTATACTTTAACTACTGACTGACAATTTGCCATGAGCTCAGACACAGGACGCAGGTCAGCCTTCAGAGAGGCATTTTCTCCCAACTCCCCCCACCTGAGGGATGCACTCACTTCCCTGTCTCCTGGCTTGGAGATATAAATAATTGTGGCTAAATAATTGTGATTATTTAGCCCAGCCAAAGCAGAACTGTACTTGACATTTTTCTAAAAGCCAATTCCTGTATAACTCGGTTATCCTTTTCTACAATTTAAAAGTATAATATGGCCATGCCAAGGGAGAATTTTTAATTCCAACAATAGCACTTGATTCACATATAACACATGATTTTTTTGTACATAAGTCAGGACTTTTGACTTAAAATAAGACCATCTTCCTCACTACCCTTCTAGCAGAAAACTCCAGTGTCTTGAAATATGGTAATAGTGGGAAAGAGATGCAAGTGTGACCTATACCATGAAGCTATCTTCAGGAATAGGTCCTGCTACTATAGAGTAGCAAAGCTCATACAGGCTTTCATTTAAAGACAGTATGAGAAAATTTATGTACATAATGTTAAACAGGCTCTGCTTATTCTGCCAGATGGAAGGGTAGTTCAAAGTAAATTCCAAGTTCCAGCCTGTAGATTTTACAGGAGATTTCTTCTGGTATAAGCCATTACACTTTTCCATTCTTTGTTCTTGCATGGTATACTGCTGCAGCAGCATATAGCACCAAAGAAACACACACGAATGCTGTTGAAATAAAGAAGGAAAGAAAGAAAGAAAGAAAGAAAGAAAGAAAGAAAGAAAGAAAGAAAGAAAGAAAGAAAGAAAGAAAGGAAGGAAGGAAGGATACTGTTTTTCTTTGGTTCTATGAATGAAAAAAGAAACACTTAAAACATATCTGTGATGCTGAATCAAGCAAGATTCCAGGTAGCAGTAGTAGAAAGGCACTGGCTGAGGTCCTTATCAGAGAGGTGCCAAAATGAGACAACTGTGGTTTATGGTCAGGGCCTTACATTTTTGGCTCCAAAATTCATTTTTTTGTCAGCACACAGAGATCAGCATTGTTAATTACTTGAGGCACACTCACCAAACTCACGTGGGACTTCTGTATAAATTGGTTACTGACTTCACTGAAAAATAGAATGATATGAAAAGTTTATGCCCATATTAGCATGTTTGCCTGCTAGAAAACTACATGTGAAACCAATTCATTCATTTTCTGCTTGGGGAACACCTAAAGAAAGCAAGAAAGGTGAATTTTCCTTACAACCACTGTCAGAAAATAATGGTAGCATACACATTCTTTGATAATTAGCTATTAGTAATACTATGGATAACAAGAATAATGATAGTGATTAATACTATATACTATATAATAATAGTTATTTTTGTTAATTTTAGTATTATTCCTAGATAATTATAGTATGAAATAAGACTCCTTGCTTATTTCATTAACGTTTTAAAGAAAGGACTGTAAAATATCTATGTCAGTTGATGGAGTGTTTTCTTCCTTGGACATTCCTGAAGATAGTGACAAATCTTTGTTCTCTGGACATCCCTTTATCTGGACTTCTAGTTTTATTCTTCCCTTATATATATTAATTTTGTTAATGATGCAGGACTTTGCTATATTTCCTTGGTTGGATCCCAAATCTTCTTTATCACTTTGACCATAGAGGTGACCGATCCCTGAAAAAAAATGTTGATTATTAAATTCACCTTTGGTGTTTTACATCCTAGCTTTACTCTCAGAAGCCATCTTGTTTTCTGGGCCCCTAGTTATTGACTTCATCTGACTAAAAGTTTTTTCATCAAAAAATTTAAAAAGCTCTAGCTGCTCCACAGAAAATACACAGACTGGAAAAAAATAAGGAGAAAATATTAGTTATTTATAATCTTAAATACTTTGGCTTTGAAAATGAAAAACAGATACAATGTTCTTTTTTTGTCAAGTATATAATGAGAAAGGTTACATTAGTTATGCATACTGTTAATTCGTACCTTGTTAATTCTTCACCACAGTAAAATGTAAAAGGCATTGGTAAATAAGTTTTGTCTTGATAATGAGTATTGGTAATAAATTTTTAATTCCTAAGGAGAGTAAAGTCAGCAAGGTGGTAGAATAGGAGCTTTCTACCTTATCCTCCTGCAAAAGCATCAATTTTGACAAACACCCAGGAACAAGAGTACCTTGGCAGGAATCTATGAGTCAATGGAGAAGTTCCAGTATACCACTGAAGTAAAAAATCTAAGAGAGATCCATTGAAGGGGGTATAAAGGACATTTTCACTTGACCCATGTTTCCCTTCTCCTAATGTGGCACAGCTCTGTGCCAAGATAGACTCCCCTTGGCCCATGATTTCTCCCTCAGGGGAGAATAAAAATGTGGTGAATAAGTGTCTGGTTTTCCCATCCATGCAAGATGCTGCCAATAGGCCCACTTCTTTCTTGCTCCACCCAGGATACTGAAGTGATGGACATAGCTAAGTGGTTGGAAGAAGCTGGGAACAGAAGAGAGGCCATGGACTCTACTAACTGCTCAGTAGACTCAATCAGGCAGCTCATCCATGAGTGGCTTAAAATATCTCACCTGTGGACTCCCACACAACCGGCCCATAGGCAACTCGAATGCTCTATGCACCTCACCACTCTCCTCAGGCCAGCTGTCCAAGCATGCCCTTGCAGATGATGAGCGCAAGACAGCTCTTGTAAAGACAGCTGGTTCGACTCTGTGAGACTGGGACAAGGCACACAAACTTATGCATTTCAGGGCACTGTCCTAGGGAAAACACATGGGAGGCTCTCAGCACCTGACCTGGCTTTGCAGGATGGAGGAAAGGCATACGATCTTAAGAAACCCCACACCCCAAGAAGGAACAAGAGATGTGGAGTGGGTATACCCATAGAAAAGTTCTGAGAGCCTCAGAATTCCTAGCTGAGATATTTGGTGAAGACGTTTCTCTCCTGAAGCCAGTCAGTATAAACTAGAGGAAGTTACTGCTTCTTCAAATATAAAGACAGCAACACAAGACTTCAAGAAACTGAAATGATTAAAGAAACATGACACGACAAAAGAAATACAATAATATTTCAAGAACTAGCCCTAAATAAATGAAGATCTGTGAACAGCCTGACAAGAAATTTAAAATAATTGTTTCAAAAATCAGTGAGCTATAAGAGAACACAGACAACTCAACAGGATCAAATAAAACATACATGAAGAAAATAAAATGTTCAGTAAAGAGACAGAAAAAAAAGAATTACTGGAGCTAAATAATACAATGAGTGAAATGCAAAAATACAACCGAGAGAGAATCAACAGCAGACTTGATTAAGCAAAAGAAAGAATCTGTGAACTCAAAGACAGGACATTTGAAAATATGCAAAGAAAAAAAAGTACGTGAAGAAATGCCTACAAGATTTATTGGACACCAGCATAAGAGCTAACTTTCACATTATGAGATTTCTAGAAGCAAGAGAGGGAGAGAAAGAGGCAGAAAGCTTATTTAAATAAATAATGGCTGAAAACTCTCCAAATCTGGGAAGAGATGTGGACATCAAGGTACCTAAGCTTGAAAGTCTCTAATAACATTCAACCCAAAGAAGACTTCACTAAGTCCTAAGTAATAAGACCAATTGTTCTTAAATCCTCAATTCAAATCCCAGCCCTGATACTTAGTAGCCATGTAACAATGGTCAAGTAACTTATTCTTTTTTCCTGTTATTTATTTTTATTTTTAATTGTGACAAAATATACATGACATAAAATTTAACATTTTAACCATTTTTAAGTGTACAATTCAGTATTATTAATTATATTTACATTGTAACATTATTCTCTTTGCCTTGGTTTTATTATTTAAAATAATTGGCATACTAATGATATCCTACTTCATTTGTGCTGCCATAACAAAATATATGAAACTGGGCAATTTGTAAAGATCAGAAATTTATTTTCTCACAATTCTGTAGGCTGGGAAGCCCAAGATCAATGCATTGGCAGGTTCATCGGTGAGTGCTTCTTTCTCTTCTTCTAATATGGTGCCTTCTTGCTATGAGAGGATGAAAGTTGTGTCTTCATATGGCAGAAAAGGTGGAAGGGCAACAAAGGGGCCTAGCTAGTTTTCTCCAGCCCTTTTCTAAGGTCACTAATCTCATCTATGAACATGGAGCCCTCATGGTCTAAATATCTCCAAAAGGCCCCTCCTCTTAATACTATCACACTGGCAATTAAGTTAACACATATATTTTGGAGGACATTCAGGTCAGAGTAAATGATGAGTTATTGTACTTGGTTGAACTTGGACACTTGATTTGTGATCTAGAGATTAAGGGAGATGCAGAACTAGCTGTTCCCTTCATTATACTTATGAACACTCTTGCAGATGCTTTCTGTTACCACAACTTTGCCTTCTGCTAGTTAGTTTAGTACTGAAAAGAAGAAAATTCCCATTCAACATGAAGTTGCCCAGAAAAAGATTCTGGGATTGTTTTCACTTAGAGATGATACCATGATTTTTGGGAATTTGAATTGCTTATTTTGGCAGAGAAGGTGAGACTGTCTTTTATTTGGTTGAATGATATTTGCAACTTGTTAAGCATAACAGTGTTAGTGTTTTAGTGTGGAAATTTACACGTATCTACAGAGGTATAAATGGATGCTGAGTAGGAAAATGTTGGACCATAACAGTGATTAATTTGTCTCTCAGTTCCAAATCTTCTCATATATATTTGCTTTTGTGATGTTGAATCTAAGACTCTGGAAACTGTTTCTCTTTTGCCATCTGTGTTAGTTATCTATTGCTGTGTAATAAATTACTCCCAAATTGATGGCTTAAAACAGATTTATTATCTGACAGTTTCTGTGGGTCATGGATGTGGGTGCAGCTTAGCAAGGTGTTTCTGTCTCAAGGTCTTTTAAAGTTTTAATCAACATTTCAGCCAAGCCGCATTCTTATCTGAATGCTTGACTGAAAGAGGATCTCTTTCAAGCCCACTTACATGGTTGTTGGCAATTTTTCACGGGCTGTTTGATATGACCCTCTCTATAGGCTGCTTGCATTGTCTTCTGACATGGGAGGTAACTTCCTCCAGAATGTTTGTTTCAAGAGGGAGAGCAAGGAAAAATCTATAGTACCTTTTATGACCTAGTCTTTAGGGTTGCATATTGTTCCCTATAGTTTATTCTATTTGTAAGACATGAGTCACTAAGTCCAGCCCACCACAAGGGGAGTAATCTTAGACTCCACTTCATGAAGAAATGTATATTTAAAAATTTGAGGTTCAAAAATAAAACTACCATAGTGTACACTCTGGCTATTTACATTCCCCTCATGTACAAAATACACACACCCCCTTCTCAGGTCCCCAACATTCTAATATCAAAATCTTACTATCTAAACCAGATCCAGGTATGCTTGAGGCTCTTTTTTGCTTGAGAGGTAGTTTTTAAAATAGAGATTCTTGAGTGCACTTTCTCCAAGCCTTAAGACCTCTGAGAGGCAAATTTTCTACCTCATGTGTTCAACATGCAACAGTGACGCAGGCATAGAAGAGCTGCTGTACACATTCTTGTTCAAGAAGGGGAAGAATGCAAGGTTCAAAAGAGTCATTGGCTCGTAGAAAATCTGAAATTCAGCTGGGCTAATAATAAAAGTTTTTCTTAGCCTGATCTTGCCCAAGAATACTTCTCCATGACTTTTGGTTCTGCCCTCTGAGTCAGCCTTTCTTTTCTGTGAAAAGTATTCAAAGTTGCACAGCGTCATTTTCAGTTTATTTTATTTGTTAGAAGTGAGTCACTAAGCTCAGTCTACAGTGAAACAGAGGAGAATTAGCTTTCACGTTTTGAAGTAATTTCTGGTATATTTACAAATCACCACACTTCTTGTTTCTATTCCACCAATAAGGAGCACTGGAGGACAATTGGAAGGCAGAGGAATAACAAGGATTTTTTTGTTTGCTTCTTGTCTGATTTCCATGCCCGTTAGCATTGTCCCAGTAGCAGCAGTTGGTTCCAGTCTCCAGCTACTTTCAGTACTTCCAGAATCAGCTTTATTTTTCTCTTTAATTGTACCAGCAGCAAATGATTAAAATTCTCTCCACAGTGATCAGAGGCCTGGGTCTGCAGGGCTCCTCCATCGTGCTCCTGGAGTACCAACACCAGTTTGGGGAAGAAGTTCTGAGAATCCTAGCCCCTACTCTTCGTCCTCCTTCCCTGGGTCATAAATGGCTTCCTGGAATTATTATCTCTTTTAGTTCCTCAACACCTGTGCAACCAATTTTGTATTTATTCGTTACACTCTGTTGAAACACCTAGTGTGGTTTCTTTTTGGACACCAAGAAATTTATCTTGTGTCTTTTCCTTATTTGTTATTTGCAAAATGTCTCTAATAGCTCAGATAATAGGCTTGGCTTGGCTGCTTCCCATTGGCTGGCCATTGGATAGGTCATTTTCTGTCTACTCCCAGAAGGGTCACTGGGCTAGGTCTGGGTTAGGAGGTCCTAAAGTTATACAAAAGCACATGTGAATGTCATATAATAAGAGGATCATAGTATTATGCCATTTTCAAAGATATCTGTAATTCCAAGATTAAGAGCCCTTAGTTTAGGTTCCCCAAACTAACTATCATGAGAAATATTTGGGGATCTTTAGAAAACATTGGTTTCCTGAGCCCATATTGAACCAGAATGAGTCTGTGAATCTTTACTTTTAAAAAAGTTCCCCAGGTGGTTCTGATGAATTGAATCTATGAAACACTAGACAAGCATATTGCTGACACTCCTTCTCTCTTTTCCTGTGATAACACTACTTCTGCTTATCTTGACAGGCAGTCATGAGGATGGCTGCACAAGGCCCTTTTGGTTCAAAAGAACAGGAGCTTATTCCAGATAACTCATGAAATAACTGCCTTAGTGGTTATTAGAAGGATGCTAGTGACATTTTACTGAATTCCAAAGACAGGAACAGCTTTATAAGACACAGCAGTTGGGAAGTTGCCTTATTTCTGTCTCCCATTCAGGGTCCTCACTGACTCATCTTTGCTTTTCTCTGAGCACCTGTTGTGATTTCCTTTTCCTGCTCCTGCTTGCTTTCTGTCTCCCAGACATATCAACTTTACAGCCAATTCTAATTTGCTCTTTTACTTCTCAGTTAAAATTCTGTATGAGGAATATGATTGGCGAAATAATAGCTATCATTTGAACGAGAGTATTCTGCGGTCCAAGTTCAGCATAAAGCTTACCTGAATTTATAATATATGCTCAAGTGAACTTAGTCTCTAAGAAGGTAGAGTCACATGAAAGTGAACACAAGGTTGAGGCTTGCTACAAGGGTGATTCAGCAGAGCAGATAAGATGAATAAATTGTCCTGAGTAAATAAGACACAATAAAGCTTAGGAAAGTATTAAAAAAACTTCAAAATCATATAAAATTCATTTCTTTAACTTCTAACTCACCCTAGAATTGTGAGTGTTGCAAAATGTCCATCTCATCTTTGACTTCTGTAAGGGCTAAGATGAGCTCTGAGAATCATTATTTTATCCATGAAACATTATATTTATTCTTACACAAATTTAAAGAACTGTTTTTTATTACATTAGGGAAATAGCCTTCTGTTCTGTCATTCCCTTGGTCTTCTGTTGTAGGAGCACAGGGCTCTAGGGTGCTTCGACTGGTTGATAATCCTCCTTGAGTAGTAACATTGGTCAATCCATCTGACACTTATGCCCATCTCTTCTCCATCTGAATTATGCATGACTCAAGAAAAAATCCTTAGCAACCTATAAAATCAATGGTTCTCTAACAAAAGGTTCTTCAAACTGTGAAAAATAATTCTCTACAGTGATATGCTGGCTTTTTCTTTCATTAAAAAATATCACCAGACATGAGTAGGTTTTATAAATAAGGATAAAATTTCAATCCACAAAAAGGTTTAGTAAATGGCATAGTTTGGGTAACAGAATTTTCAGGAAAATTGGAATTAACAAGAAAAGCATATTTTTCCCTCGTTAAAATGTTTTTGGAGGAGGACTAAAGGCTCCGATTCCCAGGCATTTGGCTACCCTAACAAACATTCAGTCTTCTCTAAAATAAGGCTCATAGAACTAACCATTCTTTTCTCCCTTCTGATAGCCATACTGGCCAATAGGAGCAAAGACTGAGAAGGAGTTTTTTTGGAAATAAAGAAGTAACCAGTTCATCCCTTCTTCATTCTTTCATTCCCACCACTGCCTCACCCTACTTACCTAAGCTATTTGAGAGTTTTTAATCTCTGAGCCTTTTGACCCCCTCTGGATTTTACATTCTGGTTTTCACAAAAGTGTATGATTTGGGTTCAGGCTAGAAACTCTAACCCTATTCCATGAAATATACCCTTTGCGTTGCCAAGGACTAATATTTTTTCAAGTATTTGGGTGATTCACCATAGTTAATTGGCTTACATTCATTTACTTATTTATGTTTAAAATTGCTCCATAACTAGGTAGGCTGAGAGGGAGAAGACTTTTCATTTGGGGGACAGCTGGGAGTCCAAAGTCCTAGCTGGAAAAAAATACAGAAAAATCATCAGCCTGAAAAGTGATTATGATGGAAATGATGGAAATTAAGGAGCTGCAGACCAAAATAAACAAGTGTTCAAAATACTATCTTTGTTCCTTTGTCAAATATCATTTGACTGTATTTGTGGGAGTCTATTTCTGTGCTCTCTATTCTGTTCCCTTGTTTTGTCTGTTCTTTTGCTATACTTCACTGTCTTCATTACTGTAGCTTCTTTTGTTATAAAAAACTTATTTTCATAGGTTTTTTGGGGGACAGGTGGTACTTTGAACAAATGGTGCCAGAACCATGGGACTTTGCATGCAAAAATAATGAATCTAGACACAGATCTTACACCCTTCACAAAAATTAACTCCAATGGACCACAGACCTAAATGTGTAAAATGCAAAATTATAAAACTCTTAGAAGATAACATAGGAGAAAATTTAGGTGACCCTGGGTTTGGGGATGACTTTTTATACAGAATGCCCCAAAGCAGGATCTATGAAAAAAAAATAAGTTGGACTTCATTAAAATTAAAACTTCTATCCTGCAAAGGATAGTTAAGAGAATGAAAAGACAAACCACCAACTGGGAAAAAATATTTATAAAACACTTATCTGATAAATGACTCATATCCAAAATATACTAAGAACTCTTAAAATTCAAAAATAAACAACCCAGTTTTAAAATGAGCAAAAGATCTGAACAGATATCTCAGCCCCTCCAAAAAAAATGATAGCTAGATAGATAGCAAGTAAGCATATGAAAAGATGATCAACATGGTATGTCATTAAAGAATTGCAAATTGAAACAATTAAAACAAAAATACTACGGCACACCTATTAGAATGGATAAAATCCAAAACACTATCACCACCAACTGCTGGCAAGGATGTCGAACAACAGGAACCCTGATTCATTGCTGGTGGGAATGCATCATGATACAGCCACTTTGGAAGACAATTAAGAGTTTCTTACAGAACTAAACATGCTCTTACCATCTGAACCACAATCATACTCCTTGGTATTTACACAAATGAGTTGAAAACATATTTACACAAAAACCTGTGCATGAATATTTAGAAGAGCTTTATTCATAATTATCAAAACTTGGAAGAAAACATGTTCTTTAGTAGGTGAATGGATAAATAAATAATGATACATCCAGAGAATGGACTATCATTCAGCGCTAAAAAGCAATGATCTATCAAGCCATAGAAAGACAGAGAAGAACCTTAAATGCATATTATTAAGTGAAAAAAGCCAACCTCTACAGGCCGCATGCTGTATTACTCCAAACATGACATCCTGGAAAAGGCAAAACTATGCAGCATAAGAAATTTTTAGGGCAGTGAAAAATTCTGTATGATTCTGTAATGGTGGATATACGTCATTATGCATTTGCAAAACCTATAAAACATACGACCCAAGGAGTGAACCGTAACATAAATAATGGATTTTGGTGAATGATAATGTACCAATATTGGCTTATTAATTCTAACATGTACCACACTAATGAAAGGTGTTCATGCCAGAGAAATCTATGAGGGCAAGGGGTATGTGGAAACTGTACTTTCAGCTCAATTTTTCTATAAACCTAAAACTTGTCAAAAAAGGTATATTAATATTTTTTAATATCCTAACAGAGGATCAGAGGATGGGCAAACAAAGCCTGGGCAAAACATTGCAGAAAAAGAACAAAGTACAACAAGAAAATGATTTTTTTTAAAAGAAGAAACAAGTGATTAGGAGAGTCTTGTTCTATTATGACTTAAACATGTTTATACACTGAAGAAGGCACAAGCAGAGAAGTTGCTAAGAGAGAAGATTGGAATGTAGTAAGATTTCCAAGGAGGATGTGAACTAAGGAAAGATGAAGGGGTTCACCTTGAACAAAAGGAGAGACAGCTAATTTCCTGAAACTACAGGGTGAAAGGAGAGAAGATTGGCAGTATAAAGCATGGAAGTGTGTAGGGGCAGGAAATTGGAGATGGTCAACTGGATGGACGCACTTTTCTCAGAGGAAAATTGGGGCAGAGTAAGAATCATGGAAGACAAAATGTTTTTATGCCCATCCTGCCTGGAGTTGCTCAGTTTTCAATGGTCAGGTGAAAAAGAAGGACAAGAAAATGATCGTACTCAAAAAATATTTGTTGTGTAATAAATTCTTATTTAGGACACTGAAGCAATTTACAAATAGTATCTTATCTCATTTAATACTTACAACTACTCTAGGTTGTAAGGTACCATTGTTAACTCCACTTTATAGGTGAAGAAGCTAAGGCACAAAGAGAATAAGTAACTGGCTCAAAGTCACACAGCCAGTAGATGTAAAACCAGAATTCCAACCCAAGCAGACTGATTTTATAGTTCCATTAAGTTGTGTAGTAGTAAAGTAAAAATAATGCTGCAATATGTTATCAGAGGTTTTACTAGGACGAGGTGCAAGGTTTGGACCTTTACGTGAGTTGCATCTTAAAACTCTTTTTTCCGTTCTTTACATAAGTCAGCCCCTTTTTAGTTGACATTACATGGAACAGAAAGAATCAAAATATGCCAGACACTCCCAGAGTTTTCATTCAAAACACTTAGTAATGTATTCACTTCTTGAATGATGTCTTAATCTGCTACTGCATTTTAATAAATAAATTCATCTTTCTTTATCCAAAATTATAAATCAGCTTTTTAAAACTTCACTTGCCCTCCCACACTCTTTCCATCCACCTCCAAATATTATGATTTTACAGAGCCATCAATTTCAGGAGTGTGCTCATGGGCTTCTGCAGCTGGAAACCTGGAAAAACTAGTTCCTTTCCTTTGCTAAAAGAACAGAGTAACTTGACACCTTTTCTCCTCCCTGAAATGAAATCCCAGAAACTGGAGAAGGCTCTGGTGGCAATTGTATCTTGGATGGGTTTTAAAGGGCCTTTTGCCCAAGTTCTTTCCTGATCCCCATCTGGTTCACAGCCAGGCTGAGCCTGAATCCCTGGCTGGACATTGCTGGCCCTCAGGCTCCATAAGACACTGCTGGGCAGTAGTATCAGCTGCAATCTTTGTTTGGGAAGCATGAAAGAGAAAACAGGACTAACTGGCATTTAGGGAACTAATTTTCTCCAGCCTAATTGTGCTTGTTAATTAAAATTGCTCAAACTGTCACTATGGGCAATTCCAGGAAGGTCCTGGTTGCCAAGAAGGGGGAAATATTGCAGCATGATTGACTGATGTGCTGAGACATATTTGACAGGAACAATCTTCTGAAGTGGTTGTGGTTAAAAAAAAAAAGATTTTGGATTATGTTTTGTAATTAGCAAGAGCCAAATTACTTTGAGCCCTTTGTCTCTCTTTTGCCAAAGTGGCTTATATAAATATTCTGAGTTGTACAAGTGATGAAATATGACACACACAGTTTGGAATTGTCACTCTATTTCTGTTGAAACCATTCAGTTGTTGCCTGCTACGGTGTAAAATATGGACTGGGAATCCGATACTCCTGGGTTAAAAAAGTCTGTCTATGAAGATTTCTAGACACATGGCTTAGAACAACCTATTCAGACTTTTCAAAATTTTGCACTTGAAATGCTAAAAATTGGGGGCATAATATTACATATCTCAGAATTTCTAGGACTCAATAAGATAAGGTATATGATAAGCTTGTTTTGTAGTAGATATTTGATAATTGTTCCTTCTTTTTATCCTTCTTTTTTAGAGTGGGTTATATTTTGGAGAAAGAAAAAGCATTTAAAGTCAAGACTGATAAATTAGAAAAATTTTCTTTTTACTTCCAAAACAAATAGTAGCTATAGTACGAGTAAGCACATACAATTTGACACATTCATATAACAGAATATTTTGCAACCATTAAATAGCACATTTTAATAAATATTTAATAAAAAATGCTTATGTGAAAGTGTAAAAAATTTAAACTATCAAATTGTATGTTTTTATTTTTAAAAGAACATCAAAAAAGCCTGTAATTACTATAAACAGCATTAATACTTCTTAATCCTTGCTGACGGGTTTGTAGAAAATGTTTATTTTCTTCACATATTCTCTTGTGTTTTAAATCAAAATTTATAATTTTTAAAAAAGGGAAGTAAAAAACAAAAATGAGTCAACGATGAAAATGCGACCAAACACCAGTGCAATAACTTTGAGAAAGAACTTGTCCAAAGTTATTTAAGCAATGACAGTGCTATTTAAGCAAAGTAACTGCCATGAAAGAGTAGGTCATTTACACACAGCAGTTCTGATAGTTTTGATATAAAAATCCATCTTGTTATTTTATAATGGCCATTTACAAAACTCAAAGCAATGTGCAAAAAGGGGGAGAGTGTGTTCTGGAAAGGAGGACACATACATTTTCATTGGAAATTTCCTCCAGCTCTGCACTGTGCTGGGTAATTGACTTACTTTTCTACCTTATCCTTCCAGTTCTTGAGAAGAATCTATTGTCATACCAGTTTTAAAAGATGAGGAAACTCAGATTCAGCAACGTTCTGTAACTTGCCTAAGTAGCTAGGATGAGGAAGAGTGGGGATGGAAAGGCCTCTCTAAGACTGTCCAAACCATTACCACGCCATTGCCAGTTGGTGCTCCAGCTGCATTAGCCAATGCAGTAGCCATTGATCACATATAGTTATTTAAATTTAAATTAATTTGAAACAAAATTAAAAATGTGTTTCTCAGGCATATGGCTAGTGACTGCATTATTCATAAATATTATATGATTTAGAGTGTGCATCATCTCATAAGAGCCCTTTGTTCAGCACTGAAACCTGAGAGCTTCATAGACCAAAGAGATAATGAAGGGTTGATGATGATGTTCAGAGAAAGCTCCGTGATTGAGGAAGCAAGAATCAGCCAGGGTCCAGGTGAGTAAGCTTTATTTTTTATTATTCCTGCCTCTTCTTTCAGATTCCTTCTCTAATCCTCATTCCTCACCAAGTACTCCAAGTCCTGATATTCACCACTGCCTTCTTTCCATGATTGCCTGCCCTGAGTTCTGCATTAGAGGCCCATACCCTGCTCCATTAATCTCAATTTTCCCTTTCAGGGAATCACAGGTTATTACAGATCTTGCCATAGAGTTCCATTGATAAAGCTGAGTGAAGATCATCTTCAAAGTTAATGAAAACCAGATAATGCATAGAATTGTCTCAATTATCAAACTCTGCCACCTATATGTGTCCTTAAACATTGATTCTTACCCCTAATTTTCTGTTAGGAGTACTTGTAGTATGCAAAAGGAATAAATATTTAAAGATTTCTCTTTGAACCAGGGTAAAGACTAAATCCTCTGTGTTTGTTCTCAGATCACTGTTCTTCCCACCCTCCGTTTCAAGGACTGCATTTCCCAGGCTTTCAACACTGGGCTTCCAGCTAGGGTTTACCAATGGGAGATACCTTTAAGACTAAAGAGTAGTGGAAGGGTACTTATCTCTTTCTCTTCCTGCCTGTTGAGTCATTTCTGGTAGCAGCTGTGTGGTTCCAGCTCTTGCTAAAGAGGGCTTTTGCTGTGGTTTCTAATTTTATCACCTGATCTGAGCTCTGGGACTCCTGTAATATCACCTTTTCCATTTGCTTCTGCAACCTACAAGGCAGAGAATCTGCCTGCTATTGCTAAGCTCTAGGGTCCCCTCTGTCTGCTATTTGGTTCAGAGCCCTTCATCTCCAGTGAAATAAATTCCCTGTATTACTTTCTGTCACTTTTGGATTATTTAGAGTGGTTTCTGTTGTCTTGAATGGATGTCATTGAAGTACTTCATGGTCTGTTTCCTGCTGCCCTCCCTGGCTTCATGTGCCACCTTTTCTCTACAAATTTCTGAGCTATAATCATATTACTCTTTGCTATAGTTCCTAAATTTGTTCTCCTTCCCTTCATCTGGATAATTCCTACTGATCCACAAGAGCTTAACTTTTCCTCCAAAACAGCCATTTAACCCTCCTGGACTATCCTAGGTGCCTTGCAATTTTTCCCATGGAAGCCTCTCCCACCACCTGCCATATTTTAACATAGCTGCTGAATAAGAAAAGCAGCTCCATGAGGGTGTGTGCCATAACTCCTTTTCATCACTGTTCTCACAGCTTCTGGGGCAATGCCTGATACAGAAAGGATAGTCAAAAATATTTGAATGAATAAATAAGTGGAAAATATCAAGTGAATTTCAATGTAAACTGCTATGGTCTGTCTGAATGTTTATGTCTCTCCAAAACCCAAATGTTGAAAATTAATCACCAAGGTGATGGTCATAAGAAGTGGGAGCCTTTGGGATTTGATTAGTTCATAAGCGTGGAGTTCTCATTAATGGAATTTATGCCCTAATAAAAGAGATTCAGAGAGCTGCCATGCCTTTACTACATGTGAGGACAAAGCTAGAAGACACCACCTAGAACCAGAAAGAGATCTGCAACAGACACTGAATCTGCTGGCACTTGATCTTGGACTTCCCAGCCTCCAGAACTGTGAGAAGTAAATTTCTGTTCTTTATATGCTACTCAGTTTACGGTATTTTGGTATGGGACTAATGCAGAAACCAATCCATGTTGGAGGCTGTAATTTTTTCTGTAAAAACAAAGGTTTTGTTTTAAACTTCTAAAATTATTCTTTGTATGGTGGATTAAAATTTGTAAATTTCATTTCATGGTATCCTACAGTGTACCGTGATCCACATGTTCTGGCACCCATGGATGCCTCAGGACTACTGCTGTCATTCATTTTTTATTTCTTCATTCCCTGTCTTGGGCTTTGTTTTACTGATCCTTACTTTGGTGACCCTTTTTTTTTCCTTTTTCTCCCACTGGAAAGTATGCAGAGCAAATGGTAATCCATTTCTAATGGACCTTACATTAATGAACTATTGAGCAGATGTGCAAAAGAACAAGGCACTTTTGGAGACCATTCCTAATTCAAAAGTACCTGAGAAAGTAATGGGACTTGCAGGAACCAAAACACCAGCACTACTGAGAGTATATTTTGGGATAAAGAAAGCCTCTTGATCTCCCTTATCATATCATATAGATTACTCTTTCTGAACTGCTCCAGTGCTGTCTGTGTGCATGTGACAGACAGAGCTAGAGACCAAAACAAAGGCAGAGAGACTGAGAGAGAGAGAAAGGGTTATTATTATTATTATTTTACTGAATCTTATTCTTTAGATTTAGTATGCTCCTCTCTTGTGAAAAGAGATAGAGATAGTATAGTAGAGTGCGAAGACTCTGAATTTTGGAAGTAGGCAAAATGTTTTTAAATTTTATCTCCCTGCTAAACAATTAAGTGAACTGGTGTAAGTTACTAAACTGTGACGCATTTTTTATTCATATGTAAAATGGGAAGTGTAATAACCAACAGGGTTGTTATTAAACCATACAAAAGTTGTAGGCTGGGCACAGTGGCTGTAATCGCAGCACTTTGGGAGGCTGAGGAAGGCAGATTACCTGAGGTCAGGAGTTCAAGATCAGCTTGCCCAACGTGGTGAAACCCCACCTCTCTACTGAAAATACAACAATTAGCCAGGCATGGTGGTGGGCCCGGTAATCCCAGCTACTTGCGAGACTGAGGCAAGAGAATCACTTGAACCAGGGAGGCAAAGGTTGCAGTGAGCTGAGACCGCACCATTGCACTCCAGCCTGGGTAACAAGAGCAAAACTCTGCTCAAAAAATAAAAGGTTGTGATAAGTGATATCACACTTTAAAATGCCCTACAACATTAGTATGACTAAAAGAGGCTCATTTAGAAAATAGTCCCATTTAAAGACTCAAGATGAGTAGCATGGAGAAAAGGCTGAATAGGCATTTCATTTACTGGCTGTCAAGGAATGAATGAAATTGGAATAGCACCCAGCAAAGGACTTTCCACCTATGAGTCTTCAGACCATAATAACTTATACTACTGAAATTTATCTCAGGTGACAAATGTGCAAGTAACTTTACAGCATCTTTCATAGATGTAGAAGAAGGATTGGGCTTGGTCTGTATGGCTTTAAGAGGTAGTACTGGATCTGGGATATTTGGTGCAAGTGCAGATTCCAGAGGAACATGAGTAGAAGCTGGCAAAAGCATGATGGGGATGTTTTCTGTATGCTTAGAGCCCCTGTAAAGTTTAAGCTCTCAGGAGCACTTCTAGCCCTGGGTTTCTGTCAGTCTGTGCCCTTCCCACAGCAGCCACATGCTATGCTCTAATGTATGGATGGCATAGGATCCCCATGTTCTGGCTCAGAAAATCAGTGGTGGCTTGTCTGGGACAGAATGAGCCACTCATAACATTTCTACGTCCCAGAGTCTAAATTAATTATTTTATATTAATTTTCTGAGTGAAATCTTACTGTTATAAGGCATAGTTTTGGGTCTTGACTCAAACTAAATTTTCTCCTCTGAAAATTTGCTAGTGGAAGAAGCATTTCATATTACATGCATACTGCCATTTTTCTAAAGCAGTGATATGAAGTTGGAGATAAGAGTTATCCCTTTATGAAAAGACATGCTGCCTTTTTTTTTTCAGCTATGGCAGTAGTTCATATTTTGATGTCTGATTCACTGCCTGGTATCATATCCCTGAGATTCTTTAGTTTTGGGATGCTCAGCCTCAATCTCCTTTCTTAGAGATAATTTTTTTCTTCTGAGGATTAATTATTTCTTTCTGAGGCAGGGCCATTTTGCTTATAAAGTATCCCATAGAGTTTATATTCATCTGCTATGGAGAAGGAGCCTAATAAAGCCTTGTTCTTGTACAGAGAGCAAGAAGAGGCAGGCACATAAACCTCTCCCCTACCATGTGCTCACAAAGTTTGAAGTCTCCATCTAACCAACTTACAAGGCAGCTAGACAAGATCAAAAGAGGAGCTTAATTGAAACTTTTTAAGAATAATCACTCTTCCACTATGGCTAGATGGTATATGCATTGGCATCTCACAGTCCAGGCGTGCCATTCAGGGCTGGAGGAAGGCCCCAGCCTTTCTAAAAGGAAATCTATCTATTAACATTGGCCACACAATTGTTACAAGATGGTAACAGAAATGATCTTAATGGTGCATTAAGTCTCAAATTATTTAAGGTTACTTATCAGAGCTCAGTTGTATGACTTTCACAGTGCAAGTTTCAGATTTCACACTCTCTGGGTTGGAGTGCCATTTAGAATTCAAATTGTCTTACAGAAAATGCAAAAACCAAAGCAGATTCACACATGGCAATTTACCAGTTAACCCTTTTCATTTCAGATTTCCAATTTGCTTTCTGCTCAATTCTCTGACAAACAAGGCCACTTGGAATGGAACCTGTAGTGATAACATCATTATTGTCATCATCATCACCACCACCACTGAATATTTTTATTATTGTCATCATTACTATTGTTATTTAGCCCAGGAATTAGCACTGCAAAAGGTTCATTCTAAAATGATAACCAGTCCACGAGGTAGGTAGAAATGCCAGGACTCTGAAATGCACAGTTTGAAGCACTGTATTATAGGTTAGGTCTTAGCAATCTACAGCTTAACCATAAGGCTATACCTAGGAACTTAAGCTGTCTGAAGGCAGAGTACACTTTGCGGTGGGCATATAGAGGCCTTCGTTCTTATTCCTGCTCAATAATAAAATGTGTGCATGCTCTACAAATCCTGATTTCCTCCTTTTATAGGCAGATGAATGTTGTAGTTAAAGACACAGGCCTTAGACTCAGATTCAGAAGTTTGTGTCTTGCTCCACCATTGACTTGAATTTTCTAATGTTCACTTTTCTTATCTGTCAAATGTAAATAATAAATGACATTGTTGGGAAGCTTGAAGGAGGCAAAATATGCAAAAGTTCTTGACATATTTCAGAGTAAATGCTTAATATATGCTGGGTCTTGGCTTTATTAAACTCATTGAGTGTGAGTGAGTGATATTGAACATTCTGTGATGATTGGATGTATATTCTTATTGAATGTACTTAGTGTGTATGTATCTCATAGATAGGATTTAACTTGTAATCAGATAAATTAAGATATAATATTCTCTTGATATTTAAAGCTGAGATCCTTAAAAATATATCAGCTGTGAATATCATGAGGGCAAAGAGAAAACATACCAGGATTCTTGTCCATTAGTTTTCTTAAGATTTTGTGTGTGAGAAAACTGGAGTGAGTAGATTTTGAGAACTATAGCAGCCTGATATATTGAAGAGTCAGTCTGGTTCGGTGGTTTGATGTAGGTCATACATTTATATTCTGTTCTGTTATTTACTAGCTCCATGACCCTGGGCAAATCATTTGGACTTTCTGAGCCTGTGCATTCTCGCGAAAAAAAAAAAAAATACCTGCTTCATAGGAATTGGGATGACAAATAAATTAGGTATTTGAATCCTGAGCACCTGATGCAATGCTACACATCTTGTAGATGTACAAAAATATTCATGAACGAAGTCAAGGTTATTAGGAAGTGGGATATGGGAAATAACCTTTAAAAAACATCCTTAAGACAAATGGGGTTTAGAATCAGAGTGTGGGAAGGTAATAAGACAGATGCAGAAAACAAAGCTGTGCTGTCATTTGTGATTTTCTACTCAGTTCTTAATCCCACTAAATTGCCTTTCTCAACAACAGCAATAACAACTAAACAATTGCATCTTTGGTTTACATAATATATTTTGTTTTAATCTTTCATTTTTATTTGTTTAAGTAAGCCTGGTCTTTAAAGTTTTTTAAATCTAAAAACATTGTATTATTTTAATCCTCTGACCCTTTAAAAAAATTCGAAACAAGCAAGTTTGAGACATTCCTTTAACTCCAAATATTACTTAGAGTAATTTCTTGAGATCAGATGAGATGGTTGCAGAAAGACAAATGCTTAATATAAGACAGAAAAATGAGAATGTGTGTGGAATATTATCGAGAGGAGAATTCTGGAGTTGAGAACTCTAGCTGTGTCTCAATTGAATCATAAGCAAAAATACCTACTGACCAATGGGAATTCAAACTCTCACCCACCATGAAATTCTAGGGTGCAGAACTGGGAATCGTCTATCACAGACATCATTTAAAACATGCTTGCTGAACCATGAATATACCTCAAACCATGCCAGAAATTCAGCACAGTCCCATGAATTTCTGTTTCCTCTAGAAGCCAGAAAGTTAAGATGCCCAACCCAGATCACCCATAGAAATCATAGAAGCTGGTGATGAGATAGCTAAGGGGAAGGATGTGGGGAACCAGCCCTTGATCTGCCCCCTGAGCAAGACCTTAGAATTTGCCCAATATTTCAGAGGGTAATTCTTTTAAATATACTTTATTTTTTAGAGTAGTTTTAGGTCCAAAGCAAAATTGAGTGGAAGATACAGAGATTTTTCATATATTCCCAGTGCCACACACACACAGCCTCCTCCATCATCAACATTCCCCAGAAGAGTGGTTCATTTGTGATAATTGATGAGGCTACATTGATACATCATTAGAGCATGATGTGTTGATATTGGAAACTCATGGGACACCAGACCTAAGTCACTATATTGCTGTGTGAACTTGGGGAATCTATTTATCTTCTCTGAATGCTACTCTTCATCTGGAAAATGTAGCTAAATATTATTTAAACACAGCATTGTTATTAAGTGGACTTGAATTATAAGTGATAAAGGACATATGTATTTGTTATTTTTAAACAGCCCTATCAGTAGAGTGGGTGTATGTAAAAGAGGGAATGTTGGTGGGTGTTTGTTGGTTTTCTGTTGCTTTGTTGGTTGCTGTGGATCCTGTGAGGGTGGGTGTGGGGTACTAGGTAAGGTCAGCGCTCTTGCAGTGTGGGGACATATGTGAGTGAAAAGCTGTCGGGTCTGGCTTCCCAGGAGCCCTAGTGTGTGATGGGGTTGAGGAGGAGCTTAGAGGAGCAATGGCCCAAGATGCAAGCACCCATGATGATTAATTTTATGTGTCAATTGAGCACTCTGTGATAATTAATTTTATGTGTCAATGTCTAGCCAGATTTGACTAAACATTATTTCTGGGTGTCTTTGAGGGTGTTCTTAGTGAGCTTAGCATTGGAATTGGTGGCCTGAGTGAAGCAGAGGGCACTCCCCGGTGTGGGTGGGCATCATCCAGTTTGGTCAGGTCACAAATAGAACACAAAGGCTGAAGAAGGGAGAATTTACTCGTTTCCTCTGCCTAACTGATTGAGGCAGGCTGTCAGTCTTCTCCTGCCCTTGGATTAGAACTCACATCATAGGCTGTTGAGTTCTCAGGTATTTAGACCTAGACTGGAACTATAGCAACTACTCTCCTGAGTCTCCAGCTTACCACCTGCAGATTATGGGACCTGTCAGTTTCCACAACTGTGTGAGCCAATTTATTTACACACACACACACACACACACACACACACACACCCTTGCTGTCAATATTACTAGTACCACTGACGCTACTTTTAAAAATCAAGTAAATTCTTGAAGACTATATACCATAGTATTTATACTAGAGATCATATACCATATTTTTTACACTAGTGTCTAGAAGACACAATAGTGTAAAGCATAGTACATTCTTATATAACTTCAAGTGTCTCCCTATGTTAAGTAAGATGCTGCCATTTTACTGAAATATTCTGTACATTCATAATTCTTCATGTACATGTGTCTTCCACTCTGTATCTGCTTTGTATTCTGAATAAGTTAGGGATAATGTCTCAGAAATTTCCTCTGACTTAACACTTATCACGATGTCATTTCCTTTTTTCTTCATATATATATACATGTTTTTGAATTCAATCTTGATTTTGCCCTTTTAGGCCTGCTTCTTCTATTACTCTGAGGTGTGTGTGCAATATGAGAACAGAAATCATGTTTGTCTCCTCCCCTCTATCTGCATGGCCCCAGCGACCATATGGGACATAAGGAAGGCCCACAGGGAGTGTGTGTCAACTTGCTTTCCATAATGGGTGTATTAGGGTTCTCCAGAGGAACAGGACCAATTAAAAATATATTTAACATGTAATTATATATCACTATATATTATATATATATATCATATATACTACATACTATATTATATATAATGATTATATATTATTTATAGATAAGAGAAGACTTATTACACTAATTGGCTCACATGATTATAGACTGAGAAGTCCCACAGTCTGCTATCTGCAAGCTGCAGACCCAGAAAAGCCGGTGGTGTGATTCAGTCTGAGTCTCAAGGCTTAAGAACCAAAGGAGACAATCTGAGGGTAAGATGAGATGATATGAGATGTTCCAGCTCAAGCAGAGAGGCAGAGAAAAAGGGGCAAACTCCTCCCTCTTCCACCTTTTGTTCTATGTAGGCCTTCAATGAATTGGATGATGCCATTCCACGCTGGGGAGGGCAATCTGCTTTCCTGGGTCTACCAATTCAAATGCTCATTCCCTTTGGGAAACACCATCACAGATACACTGAGAAAGGATATTTAATCTGGGCACCCTGTGATACCCATGTAAACCTATAAAATTAACTACTGCTGCTGTAGCCACTGCTTCTGAAGGTGAGGCATGGTTAAAGGCATCAGCCTCAGTCCATAGAGGAAGGGTTATTCAGAACCATAAAGCACCAAGGGCCGATAACGACAACTCAGGTAACACTTCTTCCATTACACAGCTCAAGAAGGATGTGAAGCAGGACTAATTTTTATTTACATTGCCTGTTTTGGGAGTGCTTTTTTTGATGGGGCCACTGATAAGTACAATCCAGTGGCTAAAGCTGCCTCCATCCCAAGCCAGCCGTAAGAACTGCCACTGTTTACATCCTGCAGAGGCAATTGTGAGCAGCAAACAAATAAGTAAGATTTGATTAGAGGGCAAGACAGAGAGATAGTGTGGACTGAAGCATTATTATACTAAAATTTAAGAAACAAATGATATTTTCAAAAGTGTTAAATTTTTAATTATAAAATATTAAACTACATATATATTAAAATTACTTAGACTCTAAAATTAATTGTTCTAAGAAATATTTCACTCATTCAACATTTATTAACTTCCAATGTGCTAGGTTTTGGTGGTTTCACAATGGGCAAAAAAAGGCAAGACTATGCAATATTGTGAAAAAAAATCATTATACAATAGTAAGTGGTTCATTAGCATAATTAAAATTGGCAGGTAGCACAGATAGAATCAACAAAAAAGCTTTTAATATTAAATCTATGACAGTCTTTGGAAGGGTGTAGTGGAACAGAAAGTGTGACCTTAATACACCAGATATTGTGAGAATTACTCAAAAAACAGTAGGCAGATAAGATTCTATTAAAGAAAAAAATAGCCTGTAACGGACTCAAGGAAGAATTAGCTAAAAAGAATACAAAGGCAGTCAAGGCTTTGCAAGTGAAGAAATGGAAGGATCACAGGGGCCAGAAAGGAATCATGAAACTACTCAGGGCTGGGTGGTTACGATATCACATCTGCTTGTTGAGGCTACTTGATCTCTTGCCTTTCATGCCTTTTGTGCAAAGCTCAGGGTATCAGAAGCATCTGTACCAGACAATCAGAGAAAATGAAGATGTGAGGCCTGAAAGACAGTGCAGTGCCCTGGAAGGCTGGAAATTCCAGGTGGTATGGTCATCACTATCTACTGAAAATAAGTATTTCTGAGCATTGCTGATTACTGCCTTCTACTGCTTCTCCATGGTTGGTGGCATAAAGGAGGGTGGCAATATTAAATTATAGCATTCACACAAATGCTTACAGGGATCTAGAAACACAGATGACAACCCATACAAAGGACTAGAAAACACCTGAGAAAAACTTATAGAATTAAAAAGAGGCATCATCAATCCTAACAAGCAGATTTAATACAATAATAAAGAGGCTTTCAATAACAGATCTTTAAGAAATGATACTGTGTCATAAATCTATCTTATCATTAACCAAATAGTCACTTAAAAATACTAATTGTATAGATTAAAAAATTAATAATAGAATATATAGCAAAAACACCACTGAAGAGCAAATTGGAGAATCTGGAAACCTTAAATTAAAAAAATGGAAAAACATGGTGTTCTACATCCATTTATTAGAAGTTCCAGAAGGAAAGACTAGAGACACAGGAAGGAAATAAATAATCAGTAAAATATTTCATAGATGGCTCCCCTGCCCAAAAAAGATCTTTAAATTGACAGCCCTCACTGAATGATAAGCAGGGTAAAGAAAAATGTAACCTCACATTGGGAAATTTAAACAACTGTAGAATAAGCCTGAAGGAACTTTCTAGATAACAAAATTAAAAATTAAATTAAATTAAAAAAACATAAATCTCAAAGAAACACAAAATAGTTTCACATACCACAACACTGATGCATGAAGCAAATGAAATAATAGTTTCATATTGCTGTTCTGACAGGTTTATAGGTGTGGTAGTTTTACCAGGGCCAGGAAAGCTGCGAAAAACAGCAGATATGTTTTTGAAGGTTGACTTCCTTTGGAGCAGAGTCAGCAATATGCTATGTTTCTGGGTATGAAACAGTGGTGATCTCAATGGCAAAAGAATAGGTGAGGCCAACATTGCAACCTAAAGTTGCAATATTAGTTGAGTTAAGCAAGATTGACAGACAAACCATAAATTTAACAAGGAAATCAGAGGATTGAGATAGCCATAGTATGCCTTCTCAAGTTCTGACATAGTCCTGGCAGACTAGAAGGCAGTATTCACTTGCAAGACTGTTTATATGCACAGGATAGAATGACAGCCCTCTCTGTTTATACTCCCTTGGATAAATGTGAAGTCTTCCATACATGCAGAGGAGACATGAGGAGGCCCGGGGGAAAACAAAACAAAACTGAGGTATATCTGTAAACTTTTAAAACTTTGAATATATTGCATAGCATATATTCATTGCAAACAAATGCGGAAAGACTTACCAGCTCAAGGTTTCAGGGCAAAACACCTGGCCAGCCAGTGGCTCTTTATTAATATATGCTGACTTAGGTGTGAGCTTTAGGAAGCTATGCTTAAAAATAAAAACAGGAAAAAATTAGAATGAGCAGGTATCTCGGGAGCTGTACACTGTGGAGTAACAGACAGGAGAATGAGACCAGGCAGGTCACAGAAAAAGAAACAAACAAAAAGAACAGAACAGAACAGAACAGAACAGTAAAAAAAAGCCTTGTAGGAAAACCAGAATCAATGATTTCTTTAATATATTATCTAACAAGATGCCTGGTTTTCCACAAAATAATGTATGAGACATGTCAAGTAACAAGAAAGTAACAAGTGTAACTCATACATAGGAAAAATTCAATCAATAAAAAGTATCTCCGATGGAGAGCAGATACTGTGCCTAGCAGATACAAATGATTACTACATATGTTTCAAAAACTTAAGAAAATCATGACTAAAGAATTTTTAAAAACATATGACAATAATGAGTGGGAGAATATCAATAAGGAGTTAGAGATTTCAGAAAAAGAATTCAGTGGAAATTTTGGAGTTAAAATATATTATAACTTAAATTTTTAAAGTGTATTAGAGAAAATTTATCATGAGAAAAATACAGTGAAGAAACAAACAGTGAACTTAAAAATAGATCAATAGAAATTATACAATCTGAAGAAGAGTAAGTAAAGAATATGAGGAAAAAAGGATTGAACCTCAGAGACCTGTGAAACAACATCAAATTTATTAGCATATGTGCAAGGAGAGTCCCAGAAAAAGAAGAGTAGGAATGAGACAGAAAAATTACTTGAAAATAAAATGGCTTTAAACTTCCCAAATTAGTTGCAAAATATTTATTTTTTGCACTCAAGAATTTCAAGGAAACGCAAGTTGGATAAATTAAGAGATACATACTTAGACATTATATTCAAACTATTGAAAGACAAAGACAAAGATAAAATATTAAATGAAGCAATAGAAGAAAAACAAAAGGCTCATCACACACAGACAACAACAATGTGATTAACAGCTGACTTCTCATCAGTGACAATGGAGGGCAGAAAACAATGGATGACATATTCAAAGTGCCAAAAGAAAAAAATTCAACCAAGATACACACATACACATCCATAAAAACTACCTTTCAAAAGTGAAGGTGACAAAGACATTTTCTGAAAAACAAAAACTGATAGCATGTATTCCTAGTAGACCTTCCTTAGGAGAAATAATAGTCTTTCAGGCTAAAAAGAAGTCAAAGCAGATATTATCTCCAATTCACATGAATAAATAGAGATCACTAGAAAACACAATTATATAGGCAAATATAAAACCTGTGTAAATATATATTTTTCCCTTTTTCTTAACTGATTTAATAGATGATCACATGTAACAATAAGTATGAAATTGTATAAAGATTTCATATGCTATAAAATATGTCATATGCATGTAAATATAGCACAAAGAAGGGATAAGAAATTGAGTTATATTGAGGCAAATATTTTGTATTTTAATGAAATTAAGTACTAATCTGAAATTAACTGTGAAAAGAGACAGTGTATATTGTAATTCCTAGAGCAATACTAAGAATACTAAGAAAATAACTTAAAAATATGCAAAATTTTTTACCAACCTGATACTTTTGAAAACAATAAATACATTAATTAAAGGATGCAATAAAATAAAACAACAAACAAATTAAAATGATACAACATAAAATATCTATTTAACATAAGACAAAGTAGCAAATGAGGACCAAAAGTATAAAAAGAAATGACAAATCTTTGGATAGATTCACCAAAAAATAAACTAAGAAAACACATGTTTTAAAAATCATTCATAAAATAGAGGACATCACTACTAATCCTATAAAAATTAGAAGTATTATTAATGGACACTATTAAATTTATGCCAACAAATTAGGCATCTTAGTTGAAATAGACAAATTCTTAGAAATATAGAAATTATCAAAAATGACTCAAGATAAAATACACAATCTGAATAGACATATAATGTGCAAAGAATTTGAATCAATAATCACAAATCTTCCCACACACAAAATTCCATGTTTGATGTGTTCACTGGAAAAATCTATGAAATAGAGAAGAAATAATGGTACTCCTTCACAACTCATCCACAAGAAGTGTAAGTTGAAAAAAAAGGGAAAAACAGAAGGAAAGGGAATATGCCCAACTCATTCTAAGGGGACAGTATTTGTGTTATATACCAGAGTAAAAGACATTGTAAGAAAGGAAAACTATAGACCAATATCCTTCAGGAATACAAATACAAAAATTCTCAACAAAGTATTAGCAACCAAATCCAGCTATAGATAAATGGGATTATACACCATAAAGAAATGAGGTTTATCCCAGGAATAGAAGCTTGATTTAATATAAAAATATCAATTAACATAATTTACAATATTAATAAGCTAAAAGGCAATATTACATAATTATCTCAACAGATTAAAAAATGAGACAAAGCCAAAATAATAAAATTTTTCAACAAATAATGATAGAATAGAATGGTACTCTTAGAAAGTCATCTATGAAAAATCTACATCTAACCTAGTGAAAGACTGCATTTCCTCTAAGGTTGGAAAAAAAGGCAAGGATGTCCTTTCTTTCCATTTTGATTCAACCTCATAGTAGACGTTGTAGCCTATGCAATAAAGAGAAGAAATGGAACTCAGGATGAAAGGTAAGAAGTAGAACTGACTTTATTCATAGATAGCATGATCTTGTAAGTAGAAAATCCTGAGGAATTCTTAATGCACTTACTAGAACTAATAAATATATTCAGCAAAGTTACAGTGTCAAAATACAAAATTCAGTAGTTTATTTCTACATGCAATGAATAGTCAAAGATGAAATTATAAAAACAATTTCAAATATAATAGCATCAATAAGATAAAAATATTTTAAAAATTTAAATTCAATGCAATCCATATAAAATTCACTTCAGGCTTTTTTTTTTTTTTTTGCAGAAATTAACAAGGAGATGTTAAAATGTATGTGAGTATGCAAAGGACCTAGAACAGCCAAACAGGTTTGAAAAAGATAAACCAAGTCATGGAACTTACACTTTTTTATTTCAAAGGGTTTGGCCCATAATCCCAAAAGACACAATCCCTAATGCCATAATTCCAAAAGATCAAAATCTCTAGAGTTTAAAATTCTGAAAACCATAATCCTGGAAGATCAAAATCCTGAAAATATAATTCTAAAAATGTTTTAAAGATATTTACTTACATTTTTAAAGGGGTATTTATTTGAGAAACATAAAAAAATCATAGAACACTTCATAGGTCACTTTACATGATAAAATAGGCAGTAATTACATATTTTATAAACATAACCACTCAGTTATACTAATTACAATTACATGGATATAACCGTTATGGGCAAATAAACTGTACTCATGAAGAAACAGGTCAAAAAGCAAAATGTATAAATGAATATCACTATGGTTGGTAATTGTGTGCACCCAGCGTTATAACTGCAGTTATTTGAAATACTGTGGACAACCTAAGTCTTTTTTTGTTTTTTTTGTTTTGTTTTGTTTTGTTTTTGAGACAGAGTCTTGCTCTGTTTCCCAGGCAGGAGGGCAGTGGAGCAATCTTGGCTCACTGCAACCTCTGCCCCGCACCGGGTTCAAGCGATTCTCCTGCCTTAGCCTCCCAAGTAGTTGGGATTACAGGCATGCACCACCGCGCCCGGCTAATTTTTCTATTTTTAGTAGAGATAGGGTTTTGCCATGTTGGCCAGGCTGGTTTCTAACTGCTGACCTCAAGTGATCTGCCTGCCTTGGTCTCCCAAAGTGCTGGGATTACAGGCGTGAGCCACTGCACCTGGCCGACAACCTATGTCTTTTGATGAGATGGATCAAAAACACAATGGGTCACCACTATGTATGCAGTCACCCAAAGAGCTGAAATCTCAAGAAATTTTATCATTAACAAATGTTATGCAGATGTATAAAAAGGACATCCTTTTATTTAGTGAGGAAGTGTCCACATTTTTACATGCATACACAATGCTTACACACAGTGTCCATGTTGTGGTAATGCACTTTCGTTGAGTCAAATTTGCAAAAAGTGCACAAAATGAATTAGAGTGCTCTAAAAGTCTTTCTGCACTTTATATCTTCAGTATTGAAAATTATGTGAAGATAAAATGCATAGCATAGCAAATTGGTGCTATGGGTGAAGGGGCAGATGTCGTACATGATTGAACAATTTCGCAGGGAAAATTTCTTGTATTTTTTGCACGTGTTTTTACTTCTATGATCTTTGAAACACTCATTGCATTTGTATTTGGGGAGTCATTGTGATGTACAAATTGTGTAAGCATATGCCACTCTTTTAAAAGTTTGATTATTGCTGGACCATTGCAAGTAAGCAATTTTCTGCTTTTGTAGAACCAATAATAATTAGCTTTTAAACTTTTATCTTTCACCATTAAGTAGCCTTGTACCCTTAACTTATCAAAGCCATTTTGTGAGGGAACAATTTCACAGATCTCGTCCACTGTGTTGTAAGGAATACAGTAAGAGGAAATGATATTCAGCTTCCCCAGTACCAAACCTGTGTTAGTCAGGGTTCTTCAGAGATACAGAGCCAATAGGACATGTAGATAGATATATCAGAGGAGGTTTATTAGGGGAATTGGCTTACACAGTTATGGAGGCTGAGATGTCCCACAGCAGGCTGTCAGCAAGCTGGAGACCTTGAGATGCCAGTTGAGTGGCTCAGTCCAAGTCTGAAGGCCTCAGAACCAGGAAAGCTGATGATGTAGCTCTAAGTTTGCACACCAAATCCTCAGGACCTGGGAGGTAGCTGGGGTGGAAGTCCTGGAATCCAAAGGCCAGCAAGCCTAGAGTTATGATGCCCAAGGCAGCAGAAGAAAAGTCTGTCCCAGCTCTCAGAAAGAGATCAAATTGGCTTATGTATTTGTTCTCTTCAGGACCCTGTCCATTAGATGGAGCCTGCCAACACTGAGGGCAGATCTTCCCCACCTAGTCCTCTCAGACTTATACACTAGTCTTCTCTGAAAACACCATCACAGACACACCTTAAATAATGCTTTACTGGGTTTCTAGGTATCCCTTAATCCAGTCGACACCTAAAATTAAGTCGATAAATCTATCCTTTGTCAACCTGTCACCCATTCACATCTTCTTAAGTTATACTTAATTTCCAAGTAAATACAATAACAAGGTGATAGTTCCACTTAACATGATGCAACTATACTGTGCACAACTAAGAATGTACCAAAACCTTCCCCAGAATTTGGCTTTAAGAATTTCAACATTTGGGATTTTAATCTTTCAGAATTATCATTTTTGGGATTTTAGATGTTAGGAATTTTTAGACTTTAAGGAGTTTGATTTTTAGAGATTGTGATCTTCTGAGATTTCAGTATTTGAGATCATGGTGTTTGGGATTGTATCTTATGAGATTATGATCTGCACCAGCTTTCAAAATGTCCTATAAAGCTAGAGTAATAAAGACACTGTGGCATGGCATAAGAACAGACATACAATCAATGGAACAGTATTAAAAGTTCAAAACTAAGCCCTAACATTTATGGTCAACTGATTTTTTAAAAAACATTCGCTAACACAATTCAAAGGGGAAAGGACATTCTCTTCATCAAATGGATATTCTCAAGAAAATAAAGCTGTTTTAAAGACTTTAGAAATTGAACAAGATGTATAAATACAAAGCTAACTAAAAACAGAAAAAGAACAAATAGAGATATTTCCAAAACTAACTACAGGTAGATAAAAGAACGAAGAGAGACATTTTATGGTGACAAAATATACAATCTATCAAGGCTACCTTATAACCATAATATCATAATGATAAAATACGTACTACAGAATCTGTTAGAAATGTAAAAGTAAGCTTACAAGTCAATAATCAGAGTAAGTTTTTTAACACACTTCTCTCAAAATTAGTAGGTTATATAGATAAAAATAAGGCAGAATATTGAGGACTTGAATAATGTTGTTAAGATTTATCTAATAGATAAAATAGTATTTTACAGCTAGGACATAGAGAATAAATTTTTTCCAAACATTTCAGAAATTCACTAAAATTCAGCATATTTTAGGTCACAAAGGAAGTCTCACAATTTTTAAAAATTATGTTTATATATGGCTGCAAAATATTATATATAGCTGCATTTATTGCATAAAGTCAACAAGATTTAGAATTATAAAATTATTGTACTCAGGGCTGGGTGCTGTGGCTCACGCCTGTAATCCCAGCACTTTGGGAGGCCAAGGTGGGTGGATCACCTGAGGACAGGAGCTGGAGACCAGCCTGATCAATATGGTGAAAGCCCGTCTCTACTAAAAATACAAAAACTAGCCGCGCGTCTTGGCAGGCGCCTTGTAGTCCCAGCTACCCAGGAGGCTATGACAGGACAATTGCTTGAAGCTGGGAGGTGGAGGTTGTAGTGAGCCGAGATCATGCCACTGCACTCCAGCCTGAGTGACAGAGTGAGACTCGGTCTCCAAAAAAAAATAAAAAAGTATCATACTCAGATCTATACACTTCAGTATTAAACAACCAACCACAGACCATCTGTGCCCAGTGCTTCTAACGAATTATTTTTCACAAATATATATACGAGATGAAGAGCTGAATGACATGTTTGGCATCATTTTCTCAAAGAACCTCACCAAAATAACAATAAGTTGAGTTTTAATTTTATCATTTGAGAAATAAAGCCACAGGACAAAGATAAGTAGAAAGAAGACATGGGGATGGAGGAAGAAATTGGAAAACACACTCCTTCCACGTAATATGTGGAAAGCCATAGTAGAATGTCTCCCTTACTTTAGTAATTATAACTAACCAGATGATAGACAAAATGACAATTATTTTATGTCCATGAGAAAGCTGAGATCACAAGGTAACCTAATGAAAAAAAATCCAGAAATTACCAGCCTTTTCTTGCCAGGTTGGGATTCTGCTTTCATCTTTGGCAGAGTAACATGAGAAGGTGGAAGTCACCACAGACACAAGTGAATGTGGCTGTAATTGAATTTTTAATAAAAATTTAAAGGCTTACTGTGGTCTGGACTGATTGGTATCTTGGAGGGCCCCAGACACAAAGGAACCTATAACTACCTATTATCTCTTTTCCAAGGACCTTATTAAGTGCTCTCTTGAAAGAGTAAAGGTAGGGACCCCTATCTGAGATACAGGTATGCTGGGTCTGCTATTGTCTGAGGTCAGAGGAGAACTAGATAAACCCACTTGAGCTCTGGCACTTATATAGTTTAGGAGACAGATACAGTCTGTCATAGGCAGCTTCTAAGATGTTCTTAGTGATCCCTGCTTCATGATATTCATGCCTTTGAGTGATCTTCTCCCCTTGAGTTTGGGCCGGGCATATTAACTAGATTGTAATGAATGGAAGGTGGCAAAAGTGACATTACTTCTGATGTTAATATGAAAGTCTTTCTTCTTTGCCATCGCTCTCTCTCACTCTCTCCAGGTTGCTAATGAGACTGCACTGTAGAGAGACCCATGTAAATGAACTTGGAAGTTCTTTTGAGAGATTAGAAGTCTCTTTCCTCAGTCATATCCCGAGATGTCTCCCAACTCAGCCATATCTTGATTGCAGTCCTGTGAGAGACTCTAAAGCCAGACTGTCTAGCTAGGTGGCTCCCAGACTTCTGACTCAGAGAAATTCTCAGAAAATGAATCTTTGATGTTTTAAGCCATTAAGTTTTGGAGAGTGTTGTGCAGCAATAGCTAAGCAATACATAGACCTTTGCTGGAGGGAAGACATCAGAGAGAAATCTATTTATCTGCCTAAATGTGGGGAAGAGATAGAGAACCAGTACTCTGGGTCTTATGCGAAAACCGAAAATAAAGAGAAAGCCTTGAAAGTAGCCAGGGAAAACAAAACATATTAAATAGAGAAAACAATAGTAAGAATGGCTGACTTCTCATCAGAAAACAGCAACGGAGACTATAAGACAATGGAATAACATATTTAAAGCCCATTTTTTTTTAAAGAAAAAAAAAAGTCAAACTAGAATCCTATATCCTGCAAGTCAACACATAGAAAATGAGATGACAATGGGAGAGAAAAGATAAATTACAGAACCCATCTAGGAGGTCCAGTAACCTAATATTTAACCCTAGAAATGAGTTTCTGAGAGAAGAGAGAAAAGGGAGGAAAGGAAATTATTGATCAAATAATGGAAAATATTTTCCCAGAAATTAAAAAGAAGTGTTTAAAAAGTGAACAGGCTGTAGTCACCTAATACATTGAGTGAAAAGAGACCTACATGAAAATATCTTATGTGATTATGGGGACAGAATATATATATATATATACTATATAGTATATATATATATAGTATATATATAGTATATATATAGTATATATATACTATATATATACTATATATATAGTATATATATATACTATATATATATACTATATATATACATATATAGTATATATATATGTATATGTATAATGCACACACACACACAGAGAGAGAAAGAATCAAGAATCAGAGGTTCAATAGTCATTATATACCTTAATCACACCCTTGGAAACTAGAAAACATGTAGAAATTTCTTCAAAATTAATTATTTCTAACTGAGAATCTATTCCCAATCAAATTAATTGTGGGAGTTAATTAAGAAATTATCAAAACTGAATATTTTAAAACTTTACCTATAACACGCTCTTTCTCGGGAAACCACTACAGGATATGTCCTGCCAAATCGATGGAGTAAATCAAGGAGAACAATAAGGAATCCAAGAAATAGAGGATCCAATGCAACAGAAGCAAATGGAATCCTCAGGATGATGGTAAGATTCTAAAAGGACAGGTACCCAGCAGGCCAGGAATCCCTTCTGTCCAGCCTGAGGCATCTAAGAAAAGCTGTAAGGGTCTCATCAAGCAGGTAACAGTGGCAGCATACCTAATGTGTCTCAACTTCTTGTAATGAGAATTTCACCGCTGAAAAAGTTTGGTTGTGAAGTAATGATGAGCTCACAGAAAATAAGCTATAAGAAAATAGTATGTTGTTCAGGCAACAATATAATCAATGGTGGCTAATATTTATGGACATACTGAAGTAGGCATGACTACCTATCTAGCCAAAATTAAAGTATATTGGGAAAAGTGTGGGGGTGTTAGGATGGGTTGGAGTGGTGTTGCAAAGAATCAGTAAAAAACAGCTAAGAATCCATATTATATTTGGAGAAATCAATATATAATTTTTAAGACTAGAGGTTTTTAACAATCTAAGTATATTCTTTAGATACATTAAGTCAAATAACAGAAGATGTGGTTCACTGACTTTAAATTAGTTACTTAAAAGGAATGAGAAATATGGTGAGGTTTCTATAACAAACTTTGTAAAACTATTTGATCTTTTAAATTATGGAACATAAGACTAGAAATATATGAGATCAAAAAGAACAAAGAATAAAAAACCAATATTAAAAATTCTTTAGAGTTAAATGACAATTACAGTACCACATATGTTTTTAGTAAAAGTACACACACATATGCAGGCATACAAACACAAACATGAATGCACATATACACATATCCAGACACAAGTGTACACATACCTATATTTGAATATATAAAGACTCATGCACACATACTGATAAACACATAAAATCTTCTCTATTTGTACATGCCCTATGTACATGGCTTTATAAGAAGAGGAGAAGAGTTCTGAGCTAACATATGTCATGTACAAATATATAAATGATTATACACATGTGCATATAAAACATACATATATACACATGCACACATGTGCATATGACACACATACATGCACAGATGTGCACACCTGTCTGAATGTATATGCACATATACTCAAATATACACATCTTTACACATATATATACACAGATGCTCACAGAAACATATACAAACTTACATAAAATTCTAAACTTATAAAATTAAATGTATTTAAATGTGCCTATATATAGAAAAATTACTGGATGGAAATAATAAAAATATTAGCTATAGTGTTACAAAAATCTCATCTAAGTGCTGTGAGACTGGGATGTACTTATTTTCTAAATTATTTGTTCGTATTTTCTATAATTGTATTTAGAAAAATATTTTGAGTAGAAATCATGTAGCAATATAATTTATTCTTCTAGCACAATGATTTGATCTACATCACTGTTTCTTAATCTTAAGTAGAAAACCTTAGTTTTCTACAAATATTATTCTACAAATGTAATTACACAGAATGGCTTTTTATAGTCTCTACATTCTCTGCCTTTCTCCATAGTGTCTTTGAACATTTCTCTCTTTGAAAGGAAATATACATTTTCTTTTCAATTTTTTAATCTATTAAAGAATAAATTCAAAGAGTGTTGTAAAAAATGAAGCTAAGGGATTAGGTACAAATAATTCAAATCATGTTTTTTGTAATTTTGAACTTTTTTCTGTTAAAAAATTTTTGACTATATTACTTGTAATTTAATTTTAAAATTGGACTTAACTGGTTCAATATCTTCATCAATTATTCACAGAAGCGTCTGAGGGAAGGGATCTTTAGGAAGAAAGGGAGTCAGAATAAAAAGGGAAAGTTTTGAGTGTGGTGTAGGCCCTCTGCCTTCTTCATCTCACCTAATTTAAATTATAAAGAGACCTCATTGAGTGATGTAGAAAGAAATGTGGCTTATATACATACGTATGTTTAACTTAGAGGCTGCTCTGCAAACTCTCTCCAAGGAATTATTTAACTTTAGAAAACTATTTTCTGTATTCATCTACAAAACCCAAGTGTATTTTGAGAGAAAATCGATTTTAAAATGTGTTTTCTTAGTTAAATGAAACATGAGTTCTATAAAGAGTGGTGGCTCAATCCCCCAGGGTGATAAGACCTTGAGCTTGTTGGTGTTTGCCTCTGGGGAAGGCAGCTTGGCCCAAGTGATCACCTGTATGCCCTGGGCCTGGGTGACCTATTAGAGAGGCTGGCACAGAGATCCACCATATGTGATGTATTAACCAGCCAAAGACAAGCAAGGCAGCAGGGTGATGTGGCTGCCTGCCTCCTTCTCTAAGTGTCTAAAAGGCTCTGCCAGCATATTAGTATCTGTATTTCTTAGTCTGTTGTTGCTTATAACAGAATACCTGAAATTGGGTAATTTATTTGAAAAAATTGTTTCTTACAGTTATGAAGAAAGAGAGGTTTTACGTTGAGGGAGCTGCATTTTGTTAGTGCCTTCTTGCTGGTGGGGACTCTCTGAAGAGTCCAGAGGCAGCACAGGGTGTCTGTTGGTGAGGGGTCTGAACTTGTTAGCTCAGGACTCTACTACTCTTCTTTTAAAGCCACCAGTCCCACTCCTGTGATAACTCATTAATCCATTAACCATTTAATCAATTAATCCACGAGTGGATTAATCCATTCAAGAAGACAGAGCTTTCATGACCCAATCACCTCTTAAAGATCCCACCTCTCAATATAGCCACATAGGGGATTAAGTTCCAACAGAGTTTTGGAGGGGACATTCAAGCCATAGCAATATCTTGGAGGTAAAGTTAGAAATGGATTTCAAAGTGTGTGCCACTTCCTATCAATTGACTGGTGACTACTGAGACAGCTCTATGTTTGTGTTGCATACTCAATGTGGAGAGGGAGTTCTCAAAGCATTCCAGCCTTGGCACAAGAGTCTATTGGTTAATTAGCTATGTTTTATGGATGCAAAGTACAGGGGCTTTGATATCAGAAGCACTAATCGTCATTAGTTCACTGAGTACTTGGTCAAGACATTTGACTTTCTTCAGCCCCAATTTCATCAAAAAAGCCTTATCTCGTAAGGTTGCTGGAAAGATAAAATGAGATAATGAATATAAAACAATGCTGTCTGATTATTGTTCAATAAGCATACTTTTTCCTTCATTGGATTTATTTATTTGTTTTTAAGTGATTTGCTATATGCAACAGTCCCCCTTTATCCATGAGGAATATACCAAGACTCCTGTGGAAGCCTGAAATTTGAATAGTACTCACTCCTATGTACAACATGTTTTGTCCTATACGTACACACCTATGATAAAGTTTTATTTATAGATTAGGCACAGTAAGAGATTAACAATAATAACTAACAATAGAAAGAAGCACCAAGATGGCTGACCAGCAGCAGCTAGTGTGCCATGCTCTGACAGAGAAGAGACAGGGTGCCGGGTAAACACTAGCTCTTCAAGTGGATTATCTACGAAGGCAAACTGGGATTCATCCAGGAAGCAACAGCAATCCATGGAAAGCAGAGAGGACTGAGGCAGGACAACAGCCCACCCGGGATTGGCCCAAGGCCAGGGGAGGCTCTCTACCATGAGGAAAAGGTGAGTGAGTGAGAGCCCCTGGGACTCATACTTCTGCCACAAACCTTTGCAATCCTAGGGAACACAAGAGATAATCTCTGGATAGCCCCCAACCCCCGGGGCCTGCAGACTGACACAGCGAGTTGCCTGGAATCTGGGAAGAGCCACACTCAGGCCCATGGGGAGCCCTATGGGTCTTAGATCCTTGAACACCCCATTGTCAGCTGCTGTAGCCCCACCAGTGAGGGAAGCCAAGCTCTTTCATGAACCCCCAGGATAGGGGCTGTGTCCACTGTGCTGAGGAGCAGATGGATTGCAGACCCCGTCACTGCCGCTTGTTACCAAGCAAAGCCCACTGGCCTGGGACCCCAGTGCAGCCACCCCACTTCTGCCTGAGCACTCTGGCAGGTCACAGAACTCCCAGAGGTAATCCCCAGGCCCACAACAATTGCCTCTGCTATTATCCTTGCCCCTGCTGCCTTCAGGATGGGAAGGGAGTGAAGAGCCTGAGAACTGTCAGGGGCCTCTAGCATGCTGCCGCTGCCATATGGAAAAGTAGCAAGACTGTTTTCCACGTGGATCCCTGACCCTGCTACTATTCACTGGACAGGGCTTGCTGGCCTGGGCTCCCAGCACAGCTGCCCTACCCCTGCCTAATCAGTTCAATCAGTGGCAGCCATGCATTTCTCTGGGGTAGAGCTCCTGGAGACTGTCAGCAGGCTCTCTGCCACTGCCACCACAGCAGTAACCACCCTTGCTCCCCTAGGCTAGGGAGGAAGCAAAGAACCTGATTGCTTGTCTGTCTGCTTCTACAGCATACAGCAGCCATGCTATGGAGAAGAGGACAAGCTGTCTTCCCTGTGAGACCCCAACCCCCTGCTCTTCACCAGAAGCCCCCATACTCTCTGGCGTGGGCCTTCGGCATAGCTACCTGACTCTAAGTTGAACATTCTGATTGGAAGTGGCTCTGCATTTCTTTCGAGTGGTGCTCCCAGAGGCAACTGACAGCTCCTCTGACACTGCCACCATCCCCAGGGTTAGGGAGGAGGAACAGATCTGATTGCTCTGTTCCTACGTCCAGCATGCCATGGCCACATTACAGAGAGGAGGCCAGACAGTCTTCCCTGTGACTGTCTTCCCAGTGAGCCCCACTCCCACTCTTCTCTAGGAAGCCCCCCTTCCCAACTGTGGCACAGAGTGCCAGGGCAGCTACTCCACCCCTCGCTAATCATTCCAATTGACAGGAGCTCTGTGTTTCTCTGGGGTGGAGCTCACAGAGACAAGTGACAGGTCCTCTGCCATTGCCACTGCCTAGGTCTGTGCCCCTGCTGACCCTAAGCTGGGGAGGGAACAAAAACCCTGAGCTCTCCCAGGGGCTGCAGTGCACACAATGCTTAGGAGTGCCAACCTGAGATTGGTGCCTGACACTCAAGCAGGAGCAAAGCTCACACTCTCTGATGTGGTTTGGCTCTGTGTTTCCACCCAAATATCATTGTGAATTATAATCTCCATGTGTCGAAGGAGGGACCTAGTGGGAAGTGATTGGATCACAGGGGCAGTTTTCCCTGTGCTGTTCTCATGGTAGTGAGTTCTCACAAGATCTGATGGTTTTATAAGAGCCTCTTCCCTCTTCATTCTTGTTCTTTTTCCTGCCACCTTGTGAAGAAGGTACTTGCCTCTCCTTCACCTTCTGCCATGATTGTAAGTTTCCTGAGGCCTCTCCAGCCATGTGGAACTGTGTATCAATTAAACCTCCTTCAGCCTCAGGAAGTATCTTTATAGCAGTGTGAGAATGGACTAATACACTCCCAGAGCACTGAGCGGGGGTAGTTGCATGGTTTGTGGGCTGCTGCAGGGCTGCCTCCCTCCACAAGGCTGGCCAGGAAAAGGTGTGGCCTATCTCCCTGCCATGACCTCTGCCCAAGAGAGCCCTGCAGCCCAGAACACCTAATAAAAGAAACAAGGGTGCAGCGCCAGTGATCTGAGGGGTCTCCCTCAAAGCACAGGAGTGGATCTGGTGAGGAAGTCACCTCTCTCTCAGTCTTACTGCAGAACATGGCTGCAAACAGGGGGAAATACAATGCAGCCATGTGGCACTCAGCCTATTTACCAGCCATTATTCTTAGGAGCCATGTACTGGATTTCAGCCCACACTACAATGCCAAAAATACTTTGCTAATATATGCCCCTGTGAAACCAACGGCAAGAATTCAGCCACAAATAAAGACTCTGCACAGGGCCTTGGCCCTCTTGAAACATCTATGAAGCCAACTGAGTATACTTAAATTACACCACAGTGAAAGGAACACTAATCCTCCCAGAGGAGAAAGAACCAGCATAAGAACTCTGGCAATTCAAAAAGCCAGTGTCCCCTTACCACCATATGTGCCCACTAGCTCCCCAGCAATGGTTTTTAACCAGTCTGAAATTACTAAAATGGCAGACATAGAATTCAGAATCTGGATGGCAAAGAAACTCATTGAGAAAGTTGAAATTCAATCCAAGGAATTTAAGGAATCCAGTAAAATGATCCAAGAGCTTAAAGGAGCCACTTTAAGAAAGAACCAAACTGAACTTCTAGAGCTAAACAAATTCACTACAAGAATCTCATAATACAATTGAGAGTATTAACAGTAGAATATACTATGCTGAGGAAAGAATCTCTGAGTTCAACAACTGGTTCTTCAAATCAACTCAGTCAGACAAAAATAAAGAAAAAAATGTAAACAAAATCTCTGAGAAATATGGTACCATGTAAATAGACTACATCTATGACTCAATGGCATTCCTGAGAGAGAAGGAGAGAGAATAAACAACTTGGAAAATATACTTGAGGATCTAGTCTATGAAAATTTTCCTAATCTTACTAGAGAGGTTAGCATGCAAATCCAAGAATTACAGACAACCCCAGTGAGATACTATACAAGATGACCACCCCCAAGGTGGTCATTCATCAAGATCAATACACACACACACACACACACACACACAAATCTCAAAGGCACGCAGAGAGAGGGGTCAAGTCACATACAAAGGGAACCCCATTAGGCTAGCAGCAGACCTCTCAGAAGAAACCTTGCAAGGCAGAAGAGACTAGGGGCCTATTTTCAGCATCTTTTTAAAAAAATTCCAACCAAAAATTTCATATCCTACCAAACTAAGTTTCATAAGTGAAAGAGAAATAAAATCCTTATAAGACATGCAAACACTGAAGAAATACATTTCAATTAGACCAGTTATAAGAAGTCTTTAAGAGAGTGCTAAACATGGAACTGTTTAGCTACCACAAAAACACACTTAAGGACATAGCCCACAGGCATTATAAAGCAATCACACAATCAAGTCTATATAACAACCAGCTAGCAACACGATCACAGGATCAAAATCTCAGATATCAATACTAATCCTGAATGTAAATGGGTTAAATTCCCCACTTAAAAGACATAGAATGGCAACCTGGATGAAAAGACAAGACCCAACCCTCTACTGTCTTCAAGGGACCCATTTAACATGTAATAAGACCCATAAGCTCAAAATAAAAGGATGACGTAAGATCTACTATGCAAATTGGAAATAAAAAGAGCAGGAGTCACTATTCTTATGTCATACGAAACAGATTTTAAACCAATAAAAAATAAGAAGAACAAAGAAAGACATTACATAATAATAAAGGGTACAATCCAAGAAGAAGCTTTAACCATCCTAAATAAATATGTTCCCAACATTGGAGCATGCAGATTCATAAAACAAATTGTTATTGGCCTATGAAAAGGCTTAGACAACCCACAATAATAGTGGGAGATTTCAACACCCCATTGACGCATTAGACAGATCATTGAGTCAGAAAACTATTCTAAAATGCATATGGAACCAAAAAAGAACCCAAATAGCCAAAGCAATCTTAAGCAAAAAGAACATTCTGGATGCATCACACTACTTGACTTCAAACTATACTATAAGGCTATAGTAACCAAAACAGCATGGTACTGGTACAAGAATAGACACATAGTCCAATGGCAGAGAATTAAAAAACTCAGAAATATAGCCACATACTCACAACCATCTGATCTTCAACAAGGCTAGCAAAAAAAAAAAAAAAAAAAAAAAAAAAAACAAGCAATGAAGAAAGAAATCCCTATTCAATAAATAGTGTTGGGATAATTGGCTAGCCATATGCAGAAGAATTAAAGTGGACCTTTACTTTCACCATATAAAAATTAACTCAAGATAGATTAAAAATTTAAATTTAATACCCCAAAGTATAAAAATCCTAGAAGAAAACCTGGGAAATACCCTTCGTGACATCAGCCTTGACAAATAATTTTTGGCTAAGGTCCAAAGAGCAATTACAACAAAAACAAAATTGGCAAGTGGGATCTAAGTAAACTAAAGAGCTTCTGCACAGCAAAAGGAACAATCAACAGAGTATATAGACAACCTACAGAATGGGAGAAAATATTCCCAAGCTATGCATCTGACAAAGGTCTAATATCTAGAATTTATGAGGAACTTAACCCAACAAATGAAAAACAAATAGCCCCATTAAAAAATGGCAAAGGAGGCTGGGCACGGTGGCTCACACTTATAATCCCAGCACTTTGGGAGGCCAAGGCGGGTGGATCACCTGAGGTCAGGAGTTTGAGACCAGCCCGGCCAACGTGGCAAAACCCCATCTCTACTAAAAATACAAAAATTAGCTGGACCAGGTGGCACATGCCTGTAGTCCCAGCTACTCAGGAGGCTGAGGCAGAAGAATCTCTTGAACCTAGTGGGGCAGAGGTTGCAGTGAGCCGAGATCTCACCACTGCACTCCAGCCTGGGTGACAGAGCGAGACATCATCTCAAAAAAAAAAAAAAAAAAAAATAGGCAAAGGATATGAACAGATACTTCTCAAAAGATTTACAAGTGACCAAGAAACATATGAAAAAATGCTCAATATCAGCAATCATCAGAGAAATGCAAATCAAACCACAATGAGATTCATCTCACACCAGTCAGAATGGTTATTATTGAAAAGACAAAAAAACAACAGATGCTAGCTAGGATGCAGAGAAAAGGGAATGCTTATACACTGTTGATGGGAATATAAATTAGTTCAGCCACTGTTGAAAGCAGTTTGGAGATTTCTCAAAGAATTTAAAGCAGAGCTACTATTTGACCCAGCAATCTCATTACCAGGTATATACCTCAAAAATAGATCATTAGACTAGAAAAACACATGCACCTGTATGTTCATTGCTGCACTATTCACAATAGCAAAGACATGGAATTATCTTAGGTGCCCATACGTTGTTGGTTGGATAAAGAAAATGTAGTACATATACATCATGGAATACTACACAGCTATAAACAAGAATGAAATCATGTCCTTTGCAGCAACATGGATGCAGTTCGAGGCCATAATCCCAAGTGAATTACTGCAGGTACAGAACACCAAATGCTGCATGTTCGCACTTATAACAGGGAGCTAAACATTGAGCACCCATTGCCATAAACAAGGGAACAATAGATACTGCAGACTACTAGGGGTGGGGGGAAGTAAGAGGGGAATGGGTCGAAATATTATCTATTCGAGTACTATTCTCACTACCTTGGTGCGATATGCTCATGGAACAAATCTGCACATATATTCACTGTACCTAAAATAAAATTTAAAAACAAAAACAAAACAAAATAATGATTAAATAAAATAAAATAAAATAACATTTTGAAATTTAACATTTTGATGCAAATAATAAAATATCTCATACTTTTCTAATCTCAATATCTGTGGCTTAATCATATTAATCATTCCTGCTATGTATTTATTATCATTCTTATTCTTTATACTTGATTAGATAATCTAGTGGTTTTTTAAACCAATTATTTAAAGACCAAGTACTTGAATTTATTATGATTTTTTTTTCCATTTTTAGTTCAGTACTGTTTACTTTTAACTATATTGACATAATTTATGTATATTACTATATTTATCCTACTTTTTTATTCTTCTTTGTCATTTATGTATCATTTTAAGTTGAATGTCTATTTTTTAATAAAAGCAAAGTCTGTGAATTTGACTATTAATGGAGATGAAAATGTATTAGAAAAAGCTAATAATAAAATAGGATGGTTATAACAATATACTGTATTAAAATTTATGTGAATGTGGTCTGTCTCACACACACACACACTCTCCTTCAAAATATCTTATTGTACTATACTCACCTATTTCAGACCTTGATTGACCACAGATAACTGAAACCAGAAAAAGCAGAAAAGTGGTTACAGCTAAGAGGAAACAACTGTAAAATATTGTAGCTCGAGCCACCATTGAGATGTTTGTTTCCAAATCTAGCATAGAATAATAGAAAAAAAGGTCACATTTTTCTAATCATCAGAATTTTTCTTGGAACAAAAATATAGGGAATGCTATAGAATGCTGAGAACAAAGAAATGTACATCCATGGCAATTACATGCATGTGGAATTGACACTTCTAGACCTGTAATATAAGCTGTTGCACACAATTAATAGCAGAAATTCCAACATAGTTAAAAAATTTATAACACATGGCCAAATGCACAGATAATTTTTGATCTTTAAATGGAGACCAGGTTCCATATACCCAACTTATTTTGTAGGGACACTAGGCACAACATTCCAGCCATTCACATGAACAACCATAAAAAGGACAAAACATTCAACTTGCTTGAACTGTGATAGGTGTGACTTTAGTAGAATTTTACTCATCAGGAGTGGAAGAAAATAGCTAAGAGTTGTGGAAAAAAAATTGAAGAATATGAAATTTGAGATTAAACTGATCTAAGTTTGAATCTCTGCTCTTTGCTTTTTTGGCCATGAGACACTGAAAAAATATTGAGCATCCCTGGGTCTTAGTTTCTCATTTGTAAAATGCAACTGATAATACATCTTTTAGGGTCACTGTGGAAAATATAGTAATGTATGTATAGCACTTGGCACAATCCTGGCATACACTAGGTGTTCACAAAATGGAGAAATACAACTGTATGGATCTAAGGTACTAGAGCATTTTGTGAGTTTCTTATTTTTATTTTGTGTAAACTTGAGTTTCACATTATATATTATCATTCTTTGGAACAACATTTTCATGCTGAAATTTCATTACATATGTAAATCTGAGTTATTTTTCTCTACCTCCCAACATAATTAGTGCTTTGCCAAGTCACTAATTACAGAATTAGCAAAAACAGCTGGTTTAAATCAAATCATCAATGGAAGTTAAGGTGAGGAATAGCAATGTCAGAACAGCATTGATTTGAACAACAGACAAGCATGCCATGTTTAACCTTCAAGCTCAGATCGCACCGTTAGAAAATCCACCATTGATGCTAATTGGGAAGAAGAGAAAATCAAATAATGCATTTGCTGAGTGGAAAAAAAATAGATCAGCATTATTGGGCAATGACCCTCTTCAAATAAATTGTGTTAACACTATTTAGAGTCTATGAAGCCAAAAGCTCAAGGTCTTTAAAAGGTGAACAGTTACTCTCAAACAATCAAACTGTGCATATAGCCAACAACCACTGAGTCTCTACTAATTGCAGGTACCGTCCCTGTGTGATGGGAAGGCACCTGGGAGCCTGATCTCTAGAGATGCTAGGGTAGTGTCAAGCTCATTATTTCATTGGCTACGGAGAAGAAAGACACCATTTTTTTCTAGTTCATAGAAATATAGGAGAAAGACTTGAGGCAATTAATTCTTAAATGACAAAAGATCTAGTTTTATTTTTATATTCTTTCTCATGGACTTTCGTTCCTCCTATTTACCCTTAGATTGAAGAAGTCTTTCCTCTCCAAATGCCCATGAGCCTAGAAATAAATGACAATAACTCTGCATTTAGCAGGATGTTGGGAAAGTAAACCAGAAGAATAACAGATTAAGAATCTCACCTTAATGACAGGGCCTCAAGAATATACTGACATGTCTAGAGATGGGTAGCTGTCAGATTAATTTGGGGCTCAGTGCCAGAGACAGTTCATGGAGACTAGATCAGTTGGTTAGAGATACACTCCAGAATTTCTTCTATGATGTAGACTCCTAAAGAGTTGTAACACAATGCTTGAATCTGGAGTGAAAAGTTTGTGATGGTGAATTTTACGTGTCAACTTGACTGGACCATAGGATATCCAGGCATTTAGCCAAGCATTATTCTGGGTGTGTTTGTGAGGGTATTTCTGAATAAGATTAACATTTTAATGATGGCCTGCATAAAGGAGATTGCCCACTCTAATGTGGGTTGGCCTTATCCAGTTCATGGAGGGTGTGAATAGAACAAGAAGCTGACCCTGTAAGTAAAGGAAAACTCCTCCCTGACTGCTCCAGGTGGGCCATTGGTTTTTTTCTTGCTTTCAGACTTAGATTGAAACTTGCCCTTCTTGGATCTTGAGCCCTAAAGCTTTCAGGCTGGGACTTATACCATTAGCTCTCTTGGTTCTCAGGCCTTTGGACTCAGACTGAAACTACATCATCATCTCTCCTGGTTCTCCAGCTTGGCGATTGAGAATCTTGAGAATTGTTAGCCACCATATTCACTTGGGCAAATTCCTTATAATAAAATCTGTGTATGTATGTGTGTGTGTGTGTGTATGTGTGTGTATGTGAGATCTATTGATTGATCTTTCTCTTTCTTTCTCTCTTTCTTTCTGTCTTTCTCTCTTTCTTTCTTTCTTTTTCTTTCTTCATCTCTCTGCCTACCTACCTATCTATCATCTATGTGTCTATCTATCTATCTTATTTGGAGAACCCTGACTAACACAGTGACTCCCTTAGTTACCTATATAAGAGCCAATCCTAAAATAATACTAATACCATTTTTTCCATGCCATCTTTCCTTTACACCATGATGGGTTACACTTACAATATCTCATAATCTTCATAACTATCATGTGAAATAGTTGCTATTGTCACTTGCAAGTGGGAAAGGAGAAGTCCAAGGGGTCACGTGACTTCCCAGAACCACATAGCAACTAAGTAAGAGTAAAGATTCAAATCCTTGGCTATACATTTTATTTTGCTGCCCTCAACATTAACTGTCAGCCCACAAATGGCCTTCTTCCCTCTCTTTCCTCTCCACTACCATTTCTTTATTTTTCAAAATTGATTATTTTAAAAAATAATCAAATCTGTAACTGTTCTTATAATTTTTTAACTTTCAGAAATCAATTCTTCCCAACTTTTCCCCCTAAGTACTTTTGGCAGTACTGAGCTCTGTAAATGATGTCATTATAGTGGACATTATTACATTCCACCCATATCCTTTTTCAAGACTGAAAGACTTATTTTTCCCTCTGCAGGAAAGGCAGCTTCTCATAGGCAGTGCTCAGCATCCACACTTTTTGGGAATTGACTTACCTAAGGAGAGTTGACTTCCATGGTTGTACCTTCTTCTCATGGTAACCTGCATGGAGTAACTGGTTCATATAATGGTATAATGGTTTGAGCCTTTTGTCCCAGTGCAGGACAATTCTGAAGCACCAGGCCATTTTTAGAGGTCTGAGTGAAATAAGCTGAGACCTTGATTGAGACTTCACTGCAGCCCAACTTCTCTCTTCTCCCAATTGGCCTCCATAGATATCAATCCCAAGAACACATTCTAGTGAACCTCCTATATTTTAATCTCTATCTTGGAGTTTGTTTTCCAGGGAACACAACCTGCAAGAGTCATGGTGATATAAATTGATCAAATAGGAAACACTGTTATCCTTGGGGTTTCCTCAGTTTAGTGCTCTGTATAGAGTATGCCATATAATGTAGGAATTGAGAATCTTGAAAGAACAGAGAGCAGGTGAAGGCACAGGGCTACGTTTGTCAACAGACCTCTGTAGCAAGTGTTTGGGAACAAGGTAACTACTATTTCTACGTATTCAGAATTTTTATTTATGTTAGAATTATTATTTTTTATTTTGAGAAAAGTCTTGCTCTGTCACCCAGGCTGGAGTGCAGTGGCATGATCTCGGCTCACTGCAACCTCCACTTCCCAGGTTCAAGGGATTCTCCTGTCTCAGCCTCCCAGGTATCTGGGACTATAGGCATGCATCACCAGGCCCAACTAATTGTTTTGTACTTTAAGTAGACATGGGGTTTCACCATGTTGGTCAGGCTGGTTTTGAGCTCCTGACCTCAAATGATCCTCCCACCTCGCCCTCCTAAAGTGCTGGGATTACAGGCGTGAGCCACAGCACCGGCCTATGTTAGAATATTTAATTTCCAAAGTAACTCTGTATAGCAGTTATAAATCTACTTATATTACAGACAAGGAGACGGAGACTTAGAGACAAAATATTTCACTTAAATCAGACATTGGTTATGCTGTGCATATTATACAATTGATCACCCAACCCCCACTTTGAGTTATGCACAGATAATGAAAGGGGAAAATGTAGTTACTCGTTAGACTTCCATCATAGGTTTTGGCTACTGTTTTTTTCTGTGCCTCTGAATCCTTGATTAATACATAATGCAGGTGATGACAGAAATGAAGACGGTGGAGAAAACATCTATCATCTAGTGAGAAGAGGGCAGAGACAAACAAGGAGTCCCTTTTGTTTATCTTCCAGAACAAATAACTAACTATAATCTATTTTAGATTATTGAAAAACAGATTTATGTTTTGTTTCATTTTCTTTGTATCTTTTTAAGAGCCCACTTAGTAAGACAAAAGCCAGATTAGAACTCCAACAGTGCACACACACACACACACACACACACACACACACACAAAAGAGGGAGATAGATTTGGAATGTGTGTGTGTGTATACAATTACATATGTACAATTTGGCAAACATGCACACACACTTGTCAGGCACAGCTTTGGTAAACATTTGGGACCATAGGCACTACTAAGGGCAGTCAATGTGCTGATGACAAAAGATGAAAAGGACAGAATCTGCTCCTAAAACACAATGCTACCAGAAAGATGGCTAACCCCCATCACTACCAAAAACTGTCTCAATTGCTCTATTAGAAGTACGTTCAGATTGTTGTGGGATGATTAAATCTAATTTGGAAAATTGAAAAGGCACTACTAAGAAGAGGACATTTAAATTGGATCTTGAGAGATGAGAAGGAGTTTCCCAGATGAAGAATAATGTAAACACCATTTTGGAGCGAAAAAAATCATAGCAATAACTGCCTAGAGAAGGAGATGGGTCAGACTATGGCATGCCATTTATAATACAACAAGTTGGATTCTAGACTGAAGGCAATAGGGTTTCCTCAAAAGTAATCTTTCTCCATTATCTCACCGAAGACCTAGCATGGTAAGATCTTGTTTTAGAATGATGGTTTTAGCAATAGAGTGGAGGAAAGGTTATATATTGGGGATTATGGAGAAAAGAGATCATAGAGTTTTCTAAGAATTCTAATTTACTGCTCTTTGCTTTATGTTCCTAACACAACTCAAGTCTGCATCGTGACAGTGGCAGAAAAATTACAACAGCAACTTGTAAGGGTTGAAAGATATCAAATTCTTGTGCCACACAAAACTTGAGGCAGCTATCTCCTTTTATTCTCTCTATATTATTAACATCAAAACTTGATGCTGTTTTGTTGCAATTGCAGTTAAGCATGCTAGAGTTTGAACATGCTGGGACATTTACCCTTAAAAGAATCATTTAGCCTTGGTTATGGTGGAATTTCAGGGTAGGAATAGTCCCAGTGCTTCAGAATTTAAATTCTTTCTGTAGCATCCCTAACAAGTGTATTGTGCTGGATGAGATACAAGAAGTGTTCCTCCTTATTTCCCCAGAAAGTCCATTTATTCACAGAACTCCAATTGTTGAAAGTCGCTGTCTCACATTGAACCAGCATCTTTAAACATATAGTTTCTAGTTCTACATCTTGGAGACAAACAGTTCAGAGGAATTGCAAATTCTCACATAATAGCATCTGGGGTACCATTGTCCTTGGCTCTCTTCTCTTTCCACATGTTTTTTCCCTCAAGGCTTATGCACACTTATGGTCCTACATTCCGTACTAGATTATGATTACCAATCCACATCTCCAACCGGGCTCTCTTTCTGATCTCCAACATACTATATCCAATTCTCCTCTGTAATCTTCCGCTTGAATGTCTCCTACATAAGTTCCAAATGTTCAAAATTGGGCCACTCTTTCCCCTTCCTCAATGTGTTCATGTACCTCTTTGCCTTACCTTAGTGGATGGTCACCCAAACTACACCCAGTCATCTATTTGGTGACCTGATCTACAAATCTGGCACGTATCATTGATAGATGCTCTTTCAGCTTTAATGTGCATAAAAATCTGGGTGTGAATGCTTTTAAAAATGTTAATTATGACTTAGTTGCTTTCATTTTTAGTGACCTTCCAGATGATGCCAACATTCCTCAGACCATACTTTGAGTAGCAAGGTCCTAGACATATCCTTGTCTTTTAGTTGTACATAGATCTTAGTATCTGGTGAAGAAATCACAGGCTTTGGAATTAGATAGCTCTGAGTTTAAATTATGAATCTGATCAATAATAGTAATGTGTCCCTGAAAAAACCATTTAACCTCTGTGCTGCAGACTTCCACTTAAAATGAGGATGACCTGTCTCGTAGGGTTCTTAAATTCTGTGAAGTAGGTAAAATGCATAGCTCAGCATCTGTCATGCTGTAGAGACTCAAAAATGCAACTTTCCTGTGCTTTTCAAATCTGTAGCTTAATAAAAATAAATTGCTATTTATTAATTGGCAAGATTTCCTTAAGGGAAAGAGGCTTAGTCTTTATTATAATGAACTCCAGGCTGTACTGAATTGAGGTTTCAGTGACCTGATTGGAAGAGGAACTCAGATCAGGTAACATTCTGTGATCCAGGACACAAGTTGAGCTGTCCACAAGAGAAGTAGTTTCCCTCTGAGAAGGAGCACTGTGACCCTGTTCTTGAATCAACTCTGTATGTGCTCTTAAAAGCTAATGACCATTGTGTTAAATCTGTGGGTTTCTGTGGCCATTGTCCTGATTAGGAAGGAAATTCTGAGGTCCCACCTGATGATCTCTCCATGATTCCCACAGAGGTATGTGGTGCCCTGGTGGCTGGACTGTGAAGAAGGCCAATCAGGAGAGAAGAAACTGAAGCTAGTTGAAAGATTGAGTGAGGATCAAAATCTAAGCCTTCATAAGCAACATAGATTAGTGTTTACAACCATGAAATTAACAGTCCATTGAAATAACTGGACAAGTAACAGATTTCAACATAGATGGAGCTAAAAGGAGATAGCACATAAGAACCACATATAACACAATATTAGGTGATAAGAGAAAGTTTTCTGAAGGAATGGATGGTATGTCATTCAGCAGTATTTCATTTAAAATGTGTTCATGTTAATATATAGATATCATAAACTTTATTTGTATCTGTAGCAAAGCATTCCATGATAAAGATATATCATAGTTTATTCAATGTTGTTCCATCAGTGGATTTTTATAAAAATTTCAAAATATTTTATCATAAGCAATGCTGCCCTAAATAATTTTGCATTCCTCCATGTGGATCTGTTTCTTTAGGAGTATACAGTAGATTTGAAAGAACTAAACTGTGAATTTCATTTTTAATTAACACAAAATGGAAATCTAAAATTCAGCTATGAGTATTATTTTTTACCATACTATCTCTTTATATTATAAATACTTTTTAAATATTTGATAATCTAATGATAAATATATCTCTCCTTTTTATTTTCTTTTATAAATTCTTTGTTGATATCCTTTGCCTATTTTCTGCAAGATTGTTTGGTATACTTTAGGCATTCGGGATACTATTTTCTTGTCCATTATACATGTTGATTGGTTCTATCAAATCTTTTTCTATTGAAGTTTTTGATTTTCAGAAAAGGAACTTTTGATATTGTTGATCAATTCTACCTTTTATTTTCCATTTTGTTATTTTTTGCTAATATTTTACCACTAATTTCCATCATCTAATATTTGTTGTTCATTTTGTTGCTATTTTTCTATCTTATTAAGCTAAAAAATAGTTACTTCACTTTTTATATTCTTTTCCTAGTGAATATGTCATTTTGGTTGTTTATATATAGTACAGTTATTTTTATCAATTTAAAACCAGTTTTAATTTCTATTTGATTTCAAATTTAACTTAATTATTTAAAATGATTTAAAAAATGTTCCAGGATAATAGATGTTTTCGCTCTTCTTTTTCACTTACTATTTAATTAACAACATCTTGACATTTTCTTCAGTACACAGGTTTATTTTAATCTACTTGGAAATTATCAGGCCTAATGCATCATCAGTTCTTTTTAATAATTCAAGCTTTTTAAAAATTGTGTTCTTTGTAAAATAAAAAGATCAATATTTATTGAATCAAGCATATCTACTGTATTATTCAAATCATTTTTCTTCAAGAAAGCATGCTTAAATTTGCCATTTATCTTATTTTTTGCATGTATAGATTTAGGGGGTACAAATGCAGTTTTGTTACATGGATATATTGCATCATGGTAAAGTCTGGGATTTTAGCATACATCACTCAAATAGTGTATATTGTACCCACTAAGTAATTTCTTATCCTTCATTTGCCTATATCTACCCATTATTTAGTTCCCACTTAGTTGCACAGTCACATCTAACTGTAAGGAGGAAGGCTGGGAAATGAAGTCTAACTGTGCCATTAAGGAGGGTAAAATAAACCATGAATTATAGCCATTAATACTGTTTCTTCGTTGGGAAGTTTTATTTTTCCATTTTTTCTAACAATTATCATCTTTACATCATGGAACATAGTTATGGTGGCTTCCTTATTTGTTTTTTTTCTTAACCAGCTTGGTTTATCAAATATGATAGCTTCTCTAAAGTCTTTTTTCATAATTTTAGCAGTTGTGTCATCTCAGGGTGTGCACCTGCTGAATATTAGATTTTGCTAATTCATTGTATAATGAGTAATTTGGGATTATGTCCTGGATATTTTGAATAATATGCTATGAGACCCTGGGTCCTTTAAAAACTCTTCTGGAGAATATTGATTTTGGTTTGTTTTAGCACGTTGTCAATCTGGAGGAGACAGTGTCCTGAGCCCTGACCTATCAGTATTGGTGGTGGTAGGGAGGGTATCTTGGTAAACTAGTGTCCAGGGACTTGCTAGCTTAAAGAAGCCAAGACAGCCCCACCCATAAGTGATTCTCTCTAAGAACTGAACTGTTATCTCTGTGTGCTGATTAGCTCAATCTAGAAAGAAATTAGATTAATCTAGCCTGAGTCAGGACCCCTCCGTCTAAGCATGTGTATCAGGAGTTGGGATGTTATTCTCCATAGCCTTCTCCGTGGATGTAGGAGTGGATGCTCTGAGAAGGGCCAGCCACCTTGGTGTATATGTTCACAAAACCTCTTCCACTTGCTGTGTTGTTTTCCTTGTCTTGCCTAGCTATCCTCTCTTCCCATTGCCTGCCATGCCACTACATGGGCATTAATCTTTTCTGACTGAATCTTCTAAAATGTCTTATAAACCCAGAACAGTTATCAACAGGCTTTACCCTTGTTTGCTGTATTTTTGTCAGTTTCATCTGTGTAACAAATCTACCCATAAACCAATGATTTTGAAATGATAGGCTGCATCTCCTGCATCAAATGTTTTTCAAATTAACCCTTTAATGGTAAATTTTACATAAAATAAAGGCACCCATTTGCTGTATACAGTCGGTACGTTTTTTGTTTGTTGAGACAGGGTCTCACTATACCTACCAGGCTGGAGTGCAATGGCAATTCACCTGCGTGTTCATACCTCATTGCAGCCTCAAATTCCCAGGCTCAAGCGATCCTCAGTTCGGCAAGTTCTAACAAACGTAAGCACCAACTTAAATAAGATAGAACTGTTTCCATCATCCAAAAGGAAGGCTGGTGTTGCCTGATTGGCGGCGGCAGGCAGGAGTCTGAGGGACCTGCTTGATGAGGGCTCCACAGGCCCAGGGCTGGGCCTCGCCCGTGCCTTTGACCCTTGGCGCATTTTCTTCGTGCCCTTTGCTGGCGCGCTCTATGTCATGCGTCCAGTGGTGCGTCACAAGCATGCGACAGACAGTGCATGCTGGCCTCGGAGGAGGAGAGGGCAGCTGGGATACCTCTGCGAGTTTCCCTCAGCACTCCGAGAGCCGCGGAAGGCGCAAACTGCTCTTGTGACCTCCCCAGTAAGCTGCGCCTCTGCCGTGCCTTCTCCTTGCTTGCTGTGTTCCGCGGTCTGGCCCGCATCACCCCGCTGCCCTGAGCCGAGCCTGCCCTCGGCCCGTTCACCAACTGTTAAACCAGGGTCCTGAGTCTACAGGTTCTAGGTTTGGCTTCACCCCTGAGAGCAGTGTCCCATGCAGCAGGCTCAGTGCTCCTCTCCGCGGAGCCTTCCTTTGGTGTCTTGGCGCCTCTCTCACAAGAAGCCAGCGCTGTTTGTTGGCAACAAGATTCTTTGCCACTCAGAAACAATCAAGATTCCTCCTCCAGGGCACGAATGGACTTGACTGTCTTTGCCTGGTGAACTGCCATCCAGGATCCCCCACCCACACATTTTTGACCATTCAAAAATGAGCTGAGAGCCCTAGGAGAGTGCCAGGAAGGCCTAGCAAAACAGGAGGACGGTAAGAGAAGCGGTCCCACATACAGTGGGAGTGTACCATTATCATTTAGGCCTCTGGACACCACCGGAGTCCTCACTTTCTTCAGCGTAATTTTGAGCCTCTGACGGGAAATCTCAATTCCAAATTCCCAGAAGACGGCGTTGGTAAGAAAGGAGTGCTGGATGAAGACTGTGGACCCAGGAGCTCCTTCACCAAAGGCGGCCCCATCACCAGCTCATACAGCCCTGCTGGTGGTGTTCTGCGCATTTGCAGAGTGATCCAGGTGCAGCAGGGCTCTCTGCCTATGGCATCGTGCTGCCTGCTGCTCAAGAGATGGGCACAGGAAGTGCTAGAAGCGGCCATGGGTCCAGCTCCCCAGCCTTGCTGAGCCAGGGAAGAAGATGCAGAGAAAAAGCTTCCAAAGACACGGTCAAGGTAAAAACCCTCAGAGATGATTATGAAGATCTCTATGCATACAAACTAGAAAACCTAGAAGAAATGGATAAATTCCTGGAAACATAAAACCTCCCAAGTTTGAACCAGGAAGAAATTGAAACCCTAAACAAAGACTCCATCAAGGAAGAATTCTCCACCCACATCTTGAGTTGAAGGCCTTGTAAATGGAAAATGTCAAGGCTGTTAATGCTGCCCGGGCTGCTGCTGTCTGCCACTGCTCCTTTGCCGTAAGTGTTTTTGTATAATTGTTGCTGGCACCTGAGCTTCGAGAAGAAAGCTGAGTACCAATGGAAAATTATCCCCTTGGAGGATAAAACAGTCCATCTTGGACTACAGTGCCACTCAGACCCCCTGTGCTTTCTCTCTGTCTTCAGAAGAGACTGCACACTCCCTGCCCTCAGCCACTTTCATTTGCAGATTCCAGCTGTAGGCACATTCTCAATTACTGACTTGCCTGACCTGCTTGCCAGGCCCCAATCCTGTCTGCCTCTCTACCTACCCCCACACCAGATATCGATTGTGTAATAAAATGCACAATTCCTAACTTTCCTTCTCTTGTTCTCCCCGTGGATCTCTTTCTTTAAGTTCAAGCCCATATTTGGGAAATTCACTTAGGAACAAGCATCGAAGCCCTTTGCATTCATATCTTTCCAGTTATACATGCTGGGTCTTCTGATTTTGACTTCCCTGTACCTTCTAGCACCTCAACCCTTCCTTCAAGTCTTTGACAGCAAAGAGTCACCTACACCTATGTGTGTGGATTCTCCACCTTACTCATGCAGACCCCTCCACCAGACTTCTGCCAGTATCCCCTACTTTACCAGCCATTCCATCTCTGCTTTCCCAGTCACTTCTACCCCTGCAGCCAGCGCATCTGCAAATTTGACCCACCAGTCAGCTTTGGACATTGGTGTGACTAGCATGAACGCCATTCCCCGCTAAGCTGCTTCTTCGGGTCTCCTTCAGGCTCTGGGATGAACTTGGGCTCCCTCCCATTTGACCAGGTCATTTGTAATGTGGAGCAGATATCCCCAGCTTATATGCATTCATGGTCAACAGCCCCACCCCAACTTTCAGCCTTTTCTTTGGCGCAGGAGTCACCCTTCAGCCCATATTTGGGTTCCCTGATGGGGGCTAGTCAGGAGTCATTCTCCCCAGTGACCCTATCTGTACTGGCCTACCTAGCACAGCTTTCCAGAAGCCTCCACTCCAGTAGTCAGCACCTCTGTAGATTCTACATCCAAGCCTGCCTTTGATGCTGATGGAACTGATATACATACCATGCCCCCTCCCCAGATTTCCCTTTTCCCATCATATCTTCTGCAGTCTTCAGTGAGAGCTTCTTTCCGTTTTCCATGGTGCTTCCTTGTTCTGAGAACATTCCACCCAGTATCAGCATTACTTCCGCCTTAGCACCCACCCGCTGCCTGTACAGTCAGTCAGTGGCTCAGCTGCAAGTTTTAGCTTTTCCTTTGCTCCAGGAGCCACCTCTCAGTCCAGAGTTGGGTTCCCTAGTAAGTTGCAGCCTGAAGCCACCAGCTGTGATGGCTCTTTCTCAACAAAAGCTTCAGACTTAACCTCCTTGCAGCACAGCCCCCTACTGGTCACATAACTCCATCTGAGGGTTTGCCTTCCCAATATTCCACCTTTGGCATCCCTGACATTACCTAGCTGGCATTTGATGACATCCCAGATATTTTCCCCATTGGCTTAGTTACTACTTCTAGCTCTAGAGTCTAATCAGGATGCCTAGCAGTCGCCTTTAGCCAACACCACTGCAGACCCATTTACTTTTACAGGATCCATATCCCCTGTGGGTAGTGGCAGCTTTGGGGTAAGCGTGGCTGCCTCATGCTCCAGCTCTGCATCTGGAGCACTCAGCTTGCTTGAGGACTGAGGAGGACACCCAGCACTACTACTCTTGTTGATGAGTCTTAACTTGAGCATCATGTTCTATCCCCTGTTACAGCTGGAAAGGCCAACTCTACAGAAAGCAAATCTGCCCTGGGGGACCGTTTTCTTCCTGCTTATGGTCAGAAGCCCCTTCCCTATCATTCAAAGCATACCAGTTACTATGGGAGAAGACAATAACACTAAGAAAAAACAGGTGCCAGAGGAGACAATGCTGTTTCTCCTTGTCGCAGATCACTGGGGACATTTGTGATCAGAGCACATCTACAGCTAGAAGGGACACCACCATACCGGTATTTGGAAATACTTATCTTCCCACTTTTTGTTGGAATACCTGGGGATCCCTGGCTAATGCCTGAGTAGAACATATCTGACAGTGTACCTATGCTTGAAGGTACCACTATTCTTGCGTACACTTAGAGCACCCGGGGCTCACCTATCCAGAGCACAGGTAGTGAATAGGAACAGTCAGCACCACACCTGTGCTGGGAGATACTACTGTTCCCGGCAACATTCAGAGCATGTGGAGAGCTTATGGCCAGAGCACATCTGTTGCAGTCATAGGAGAAAATGCCCTACAGTTTTAGGGGATTCTTCTAGTCTCACCTAGGTCAGAACATCGGGAGCTCACCCACCCAATGTACCCTCTTTGACTTTGGAGGAGCCAGCACCACTGAGAAAAATACCTATGTGTGGAGACATTTTTGCCACTACCTTTGGTCAGAGCAACTGTGCTTCCTGTGTACACAAGCAAGAATCAACCTTGCTTTTAGGTTACCCTTGTCGTCTACCCAAGGCTTAACTGGAGACAAATGTTGGGCCACAAACCCATTCATTATCTTCCAGTAGAAGACCCAGGATCTCAGCAATTAAGGGAAAACTTCTACAAGCAGCAGGTCACCACAGTTCCCCATAAATGGACCTTACTCTGCTGAAGAGAGGCTCAATCTCTTCTACTTGTGTCAAATAAACTTCAGTTGCTCTCTGTCTTCCTCCATCAAGCTGAAGGCTCACACCTGTGTGTGTGTGTGTTTTAGAGATGTGAGACAGATGAGGCTGGTCAAATGTCAACATACTGAACTTAAGGAGTACAACTGTGGAGAGTAGAAGAGTGATCTGCACACATTGTCAATGGTGCCATCCCTGGCTTTCACTGTTGGTCTGGCAGACCCTTCTCTGGAACAGTTTTCTTCTGGTCTTGGAACTGGCAGGATGCCCACAGCTGCCTACAGCTGTCTCTTTTCCACTTGCCTCAATGAGCTCTTATCTTTCTTTTCACCATTAAAAATCATAAATCTTTTTTTTTTCTGTTAATTTGTCCTGTGCTCACAAGTCTTTTACTCTGTGACTCAACTGTGAAGGAAGAATTGACTTGTATTAAGTGGTGACATGTTGAGCCAGACTTAAATGCGCAACATTTTCTACAGTCCAGTGAATAAGATGTGGAATTAATCATGCTTAATCACTGCACACGGTGACTTCTGCAGTCTCTGTGTTTTGAGTGTAAAGATGGTGACCCAAGAGGAAGGAAGATCCAGAGAAGGGAGAGACAGTGTGAGTGGCCCTTGCCTCTCCTCTCTGGGCTTCTCTTCCACCATCTGACCTCACTGAAAGCCAGCCTATCCCCAACTCTAAACCACACTTTACAATTTTAGTTGTCGTAAATATTTACATGTTCTTTTTGTGCTGTTTTCATTAATTAAACTTAGGCCAATCCCCACACATTTCCATTTCAACCAGAGAGTATAGATTTGGCATCCATGCTCTTGAGCCTGGAAGTGTGAGGAAAGAAAAAGTTCACATCTGCTCTGCAGTTATTGAGATTTTTAAGTCTAGGATGTAACATATTACTTGACACTCTCATCATGATGCTTAAAATATCAGGAACTACCTGGACGTGGCCTATTTGGAAAAATAACCTGTCTGGCTCTAGTCCAAACCACTGAAATATCAAATTGCAAAAGTTACAATTTCACCCAGATTCAGCTGACCCTAGAGTTCCACTGTCTCCACTAGACTTAGTTGCTGAAAATGCAATCTTTTCTAATACAGTTTACAACCCAGGAAAACCACTTTAAGATGGGGGAAAGAGAAAATTACCTCTTACCCCAGAGGAATTTACAAGCTAGTGTGGGAGACAGATGAATAAACCAAAAATTACAACTGGAGAGGCAAATGTTAGGGTGATGGGAGCGGGTAAGAAGGACACAAAACTACGTTTGGGAAATGACTTCTGTTCTGTGCCAGAGAGGAGATGGTGGCATGCATTTAAAAACTCCAGGTGCCCTTAAAGTGGTTGTATAAGGAGAGGCCTTGAATTAACTCCAGAAATGTTCTGCACAAAACTCTGAGATATCATATAGCTTCTCCCAATCTTTCCTTCCTTACCTGCAAAATGTAAAAATACTCGCTGCCTCCTAAAGCAGGTAGAAGACATGCATGTGATTTGGGAGATGTAAAATACACAAGATAATAAATCAGAGAGGCTGAGTTTAAATACTGCCTGTAGCACTCAATAGTTGTGTGATCCTGGTGAGGTACTTAATCTTTCTACAAAATAGAACTAATAATAGTGACAAATTTATTAAATTCTGAGAATTAAAATAATTATAATACATTAGGCATTTAAAACACTGCTTGGTACACAGAAGGTGAAATATAGGGGTTTGTCACTTATTTCAAAATGTTAATTATTTATAGAATTACTAACATATGTTTTATTAATATATAATCCCTTCAAGATTGGTATTATGGTACTGTAAGCCTGAGATCCTAGTAAAGATTTAATCAGCTAGTCTGAGAATGTTTTGGGGGGAAATGAATTGTTGATCTTTATCACTTTCTTTTCTATAATTACCAACTCTGTTTGACTCTCCAGGGAGCAGAATAATTAAGATTGTTAAGAGGAATCAGGGAGCTAAATATTATTGCACTTTGAAATACTTCTCTGATACGGAGAATTCCTCCTCCAGTTGAGTTTGTACACACAATTTGAGAGAAGCCTACCTGCATATATGCCTGAAATGGCACCCAATTTTGTATCCTGAGGCCTCAGGGATGGGGCACCCACAGTGTAGAAGTTGGAGCAGTAGGAGTAAATTTAGTTTTTCTTCTACAGGAGGTGCTTGTCAACAGAGCTACATGCTTTTCACTGAAAGGTTAAGGGCAGACAGATTTGACAGAACAGAGGGGTTCCACATTAAAGGCTTCGAGTAGAAATGTCTGTCACTTCCCTCAATAGTTACCAGTAGCCATATGGTGCTGCAGTGACAGGTCTGGGAATTTCAGAGCAAGTTGTAGGCTGCACTTGAGGAGCCTTCTGGGGTCAGTGGATGGGGGACAGGTTAAAGGAAAATAACAACTTTTACTTTTATTCAATAAATGGACATATGTTGTTTGACCCCACTCCATCTTGCCTCTCAGTGATCACTGACAAAATGAAGAAAACAATGTTAAAAAATTGGGATGGAACAAAGGCCCTTGGTGGGTGGTAGGATGGAATTGGCCTACTCTTTCTTTTTCTAGGTGTTCTTTCTACCTTTAACTTCAGGACTATATGATGGTACTCTCTCTTGAGATGTGTCTTCATTGAATTATATTGTCTAGTCTAGTTCGTTAGGACAGAGGAGCGACATGGTATCTAGTTTGCAAAGATGGTCTTCCAGTGAAACACACCATTTAGTATCCATGTTCTCTGCAGTCCCTCCCACATTGTAGGTTTTGGGCAAGGGAGACGAAGTTCTCAGTTAGAAGTTGAAGTAGTCAGAAAATTGAGGCACTAAAGTGGAAGAGAGAAGACAAGGGTGATGTAAGAAAAATTGTAGAATTAGAAGCAGAGTGGTCACAGGAAGACAGAAAAATGCACAGGTGTAGGCACATTAGTTCAGGTGAATCATATGAATAAATTATGCATTATGATGGTCTTTTTGTGTCTGGTTTAGTGCAGTGGTTCTAAAAGAACAATATCAGCCTTAACTGAGAACTCATTAGAAATGCACATCCAGGGGCTCTGTCTGAAACCAATTGAATTACATACTCAGAGAATGGGGCCCAACAATCTGTTTTAACAACCTACAAGTGATTGTGATGCTCACTAAACTTTAAGAATCAGTGGCTTAGAGATTTGATATGCAAAGGGTGATCCAAGGAGCTTGTTAAAAATGCAGACTTGGTCTGAATAAGAATCTGCTTGTTAACAATATTCTCAGATAATTCTTGTGTACCTAATGTTTGAGAAGCACTGGCTTAGAATGCTTATGCCAGACTGTAGATAGTACCCCCAAGCATTAAGTGTTTGCAAAGCAGACAATATGGAGAACTTGTGTATCTTTCCCTCTCAAGAGGACTTGACCCTGAACAGAACTGAGCCATGGTTGAGTTGGTGTTTGAACCTCCTGCCTGGAAAACCATACCTAGAAACACCTATGGTCTCTACCCTTCCCTAGGATATAAATAAGACTTGGGCTTGGAACACTGAAATGGCCTGAAGACTCCTGAGCAATAATGTCTTTTCAACCTTAGAAGGAAGCTTCCTTCTCATTGCTGGACTTGCTATAGCCTCATGGTAACAAGTGAGGCTTCTTAGCAGAAATTCTCAATGATGTGTTAGAAATTGGCTGAGGGACTAGCAAGTCAGTCCTTCATTTATCCATCCTGTGAGCCTTTCTTACAGCCGTTTTATCAGTAAAATTAGCCCCTTTTGTCCTGAGGAAAGGGTAAAGAAAACTTTCATTTGCTTAGCTCTGTATGTGTGATGCATTAATGCTTTTTCTTTACGTGCCTCATAACCTTATTCCACACAATCATCCTATGAAGTGGGTATTACATTTTAACAAATTTATATAAGATTCAATAGTTTATATAAGGTTTAAGAGTTTGTACATGTTCTCATCATTTGAAGCAGCTTTTCCACAGTCTTACCTTCTGCCATGACTCCAAGATATTTCCATCATTAGATAACTCAGATTGACTATGGAAGCATACAGCCTAGAAGGTATGGCAATAGAAAATTATACCCTTTCTATTAAGATATTTTATCTTTTTGGGCCAGAAGTGGTGGCTCACGCCTGTAATCCCAGCACTTTGGGAGGCCTAGGCAGGTGGATTACCTGAGGCCAGGAGTTCGAGACCATCCTGACTGACATGGTAAAATCCCATCTCTACTAAAAATACAAAAATTAGCTGAGCGTGGTGGTACACGCCTGTAATCCCAGCTACTCGGGAGGCTGATGCAGGAGAATTGCTTGAGCCCGGGAGGCGGAGGTTCCAGTGAGCTGAGATTGTGCCACTGCACTCCAGCCTGGCTGACAGAGTAAGACTCTGTCTAAAAAAAAATATATATATATATATATTTTTTCAAGGAACATCTAAAAGGAAAAAATAATGATCCACAGCCCTCTTGAGATGGATCTAATAGGCCTTTAGATTGGTATATTCTGATAACATAGGCTTTTGAAAGATAACTGTTAAGCATATATTAACCAAATGTCTTTATTGGCTGGGGTGGGGTAGGGAGAAGCAGCACAGAATAAGAAGAAAGTATTGAGTTTGGATTAGATTGATGTTTCAGGCTGTGTCCCAGTTTCTCAATTTATTGGAATAGTGACCTTGGTCAATGTCAAGGCCAACTCCCTTGAGTCTCAGCTTTTTTTTCCCACATGAAGTGACTGAGACATATTAGGCTCTAAAAAAAGTTAGCTTTCTCCCATTTCTTCTGTGGTTTTGTCATGTTTTATCCTCCAGAATGGGCCCTAGAGCAAAAATGTGATAAAAACTTCAGTTTGACCTCATTCCTTTCTGATATTGTTGGGCTCTGAAATTGTTGGGCTCTGATATTGTTGGGCTCTGAAATTTTTGGGCTCGAGTAGCCAAGGGACTTGAGACAGCAACACTAGCTTTCTTTCCATACGGTCCTCTATGGTATATAGTGCAACCTACACATGTGCTTATTCTTCTTTTCATGCATTCATTCAGTTCCTGTGAAATAAGCTGTGCTATACTTAAGGATATAATAGTAAGCAGAAACAGACCCCAAGAAGCTATAGTCAACAGTGTTGGTAGACACTGTTGTCTACCATACAACAGCAAATAATCATACAACATGTATAATTATAGACTAGGATATATGTGGAGGAAATGTAAAAAACACTCTAAAGATGTATAACACAGGAATCTCATCTTGTCTGTGTAGTCAGAGAGGGCTTCCTTGAGAGAGTGACATATGACCTGAAGAGTAATGAATAATTAAGATTAAAACATAATTGGACCCTTAGAGAAAAACATAGCAGGAAAGCCTCATGACCTTGGGTAGGCAAAGAGCTCTTAGAGACAACACCAAAATAATGATTGATTTTTAAAAATGATAAAATGGAATCAAAATCATCAAAACTAAAAACCTTTGCTCTTTTAAAGACCCTGTTAGAAAATAAGCCACAAATTGGGAAAAAAATACCTGCAACATATATCAAAATATATAAAGAATTATAAAATCTCCACAATAAAAGGGACCCAATAAAAATGTCAAAATATTTGGATAGACGATTCACCAAAGAAGTTATAGATGGCAAATGAATGTCATATGCTCAACATTAGTCATTAGGGAAATTCAAATTTAAACCACAGTGAGATACCATTACACATATTAGAATGACTTGAAAAAATACCTTGCTGGTGGGAGTAAAAAATGGTATAGTAGTCAGTTCAGAAAAGTTTGGCAGTTTCCCACATAGTTACATCCATACCTACCATATGACCCAGCAGTCCTAATTCTAGGTAATTATACTAGAGCAATAAAAGCTTCTGCTCACACAAAACCCTGTACACAGATGCTTTTAGTAATATTATGTATAATCACCAGAAACTGAAAACACACCAAATGGCCTTCAGTGGGTAAATGAATAAACAAACTGTGGTACAAATGACAATGACATACTACCCAGATATGCAAATGAACAAACTATTTATACATGTGACAACTTGGCTGAATCTTAAATGCATTATGCTAAATGAAAGAACCCAGTCTCGAAAGGTTATATGCCATATGATTCCATTTACATGACATTCTGAAATAAGCAAAAATAATGTATTCTGGCATATCTTTCTAAGAATTAAAATAAGGTGAATATGGTAGAATGGCAGAAATAAAGAGGAAAAAGATATAAGATAAAAATATAAGCAAGTACATATAGAACTAAATAATAATAAATGACTGTTTTAAAACTTTTACTCTGTGCTAAGCACCTTACACGGATTATGTTATTTAACCAGTGCCAAGAAATTTTCAAAAATAATATTAACATACAATAAAAGAAAAACTTTGCTTTTTAGATGAAAAATTTAAGCTAAGACAAATAACTAACTTATCAAGTTAAGGACTGGTCAATAGGTAAACCAGGATTTTAATCTAACAGTCAAACTTCAGAGTTGACTATATTAAGAATGGTACTGCTATACTGGCACATTTGTAAGTCTCGCTGAGGGTTATATTTTGATCCTAAGGTAAATAGAAACCATGGAAAGGCTCTATGTGCATCCATTGTTCATTAAATTTCCATTTCCTTAAAGATCACCCTGACTACAACTTGGAGTACAGACTGGTGGAGGTGGGTTGACAGGTGGAATAGAGTGGGACATGGGCTAGCTAGCTGTTATGGGCTGAACTGTGTCCCCTCAAAATTGATATGTTGAAGCCCTAACCCCCAGTACCTCAGAATGTGACTGTATTTGGAGACAGGACTTCTAAAGCAGTAAGTTAAAATGAGCTTGTTAGGATAGGGTCTAATTCAATTTGACTTGGATATTTATAAGAATGGCAAATTTGGAAACAAGACAAGACATTAGGAATGCATGTGAGACACTAGGGATGACCATGTGAGGTTACAGAGAGAAGAGCGCCACCTCCAAGCCAAGGAGAGAAGCTTCAGAGGAAACTAAGCCTACCAACACCTTGATGTTGGACTTCTAGCCTTCAGAACTGTGAGAAAATAAATCTCTCTTGTTTAGGCCATCTAGTCTGTAGTATTTTGCTATAGCAGCCCTAGCAAACTAACACAATGGCTATTGTACAGGGAAGATGTAACACTCCAGAGTGGCAGGAAAAAAATGTAGAGAAGTGAATACATTTGAGATATTCACAGCTGAGATAAAATAAGTAGAACTTGATTTTAAACATAGTGAAGGACTGAGGGAATAGGAGGTAAGAATTGCATACTTACAAAGAAACTATTCACTGCAGTAGAAAGACTTTCCAAGGTCTAGATATTTATTGGGGGGAGTAGAAGCAAGGTCACGAGTTAGGACTTGATCATGTTGAATTGGAAGTGATGAGACAAACAGTTAAATATTTGGGTCTGGAGATCAAAGGAAAGGTCTGATCTGGAAATAAAAAGTTGTGATTCATCAGCACATAGGTAACAACTAAAGCCATAGGTTTGTAACAACTCAATAGACTCTTCTTGTCTACTGCCCAGGAAAGCCAATGCACTGAGAGCAGAAGGTTTTGTAGCAAAGAAAGAGTTAAATAATGGCAGGGTCAGCCAAGCAGAGGGACAGGAAATATTTGTCAAATCTGCCTCCTGGAGAATTCTGAGGTGAGGGTTTTTCAAGTATAGTTTGGCAGGCAGGGCACTAGGGGATGGAGAAGGCTAATTGGCTAGGTCAGGGATAAAATAATAAGGGGTCAAAGCTCTCATATTCTGCTGAGTCAGTTCCTGGGTTGGGGGCATCACAAGATCAGGTGAGTCAGTTTCTCGGTATGGTTTACTGCTCCAAGTGGCACCAGCTTGTGCATCAGAATTAAGGGTCTGAAAAATACCTCAAACACCAATCATAGGTTTTACAATAGTGATGCTATCTGTAGGAGCAATTGGGAAAGTTGTAAATCTTGTAGCCTCCATAAGCCCTAAACCATGGTTTTGTTAAATAAATAAATAAATAAGTAAATTAAAAAATTATGAGGCATACAAAGGAACAAGACATTATGACTTACACATATGAAAAATGTAAGTAACAGAAACTGCCTGTGAAAGAGTAAGATATTGGACTTAAAGAAAGATTTCTAAGTAGCCATTATAATATATTCAGAGAACTAAAAAAAAGCCTAATAAAAAATAAGGAAAGCTAGGATAACAATATCACACCAAAGAGAAAATATCTGATGTGCTTTTTATTTGTGTCCCCACCCAAAGCTTATGTCAAATTATAATCCCTGATGTTGGAGCTGGGGCCAGGTGAGAGATGACTGGATCATGTAAGCGGATGTCCCCCTTGCTTTTCTCATGATATTGAGTGAGGTCTCATGAGATCTGGTTGTTTAAAAGTGTGTGTCACCTCCTCACCCCTTTCTCCTGCTCCAGTCATGCAGGACATGACTGCTTCCTCTTCATCTTCTGCCATGATTGTAAGTTTCCTGAGGTGTCCCTAGTCATGCTTCCTGTACAGCCTGTGGAACCATGAGCCCATTAAACCTCTTTTCTTTATAAATTACCCAGTCTCAGGTAGTCCTTTATAAGAATGCAAGAATGAACAAATACAATATTAGTAAAGGAAAATTATTTTTAAAAATGAAAATTCTTGTCTTTAAAAGTATAATTGCTGAAATAAAAAAAATACTAGAGAGGCTCAACAATAGATTTGGCCTGGCCAAAGAAAGAATTAACTGATTTAAAGATAGGTCCGTAGAGACTATGTAAGCCAAGCCAATTGAACAAAAATGGTGAAGAAAAATGAAATAAAAACCTCAGAGAAATGTCAGAGAAAATTAAGTGCACCAACAAATGCATAATGAGAGTACCAGGAAAGAAGAGAGAGAAAAGAGAAGAAAAATATTCAAAGAAATAATGGCTGAAAAATTCCCAAATTTATTATACAACAATAACTTACACATCCAGGAAGCTCAACAAAATCCAAGTAGAACAAATGTAAAGAGACCCACAAATAGACATATTGTACTAAAAATGCTGAAAGTCAAAGCTAGGGAGAATATCTTGAAAGTAGCAAGAGAAAATGCATCACTTACACGGGAACCTCAATAAGATTAACAGCTGACATCTCTGCAGAAACAATAGAAAGCAGTGGGATAACATATTCAAAATGTTCAAAGAAATATTCTGTGCATGAATAATCCTCTATTCAGCAAAGCTCTCTTTCAGAAATGAAAGCGAAATGCAAAATTCTTTTCCAGATAAACAAAAGCTGAAATAATTTATTTCTAGCAGACCTTACAAGAAAAACTAGAGGAAGTTCTTCAGACTGAAAGCAAAGGAGCCCAGATGGTAATTATAATACAAACACACACAAAATGATAAAAGTTATTATGTAATATAAAAGACAGTAAAAATGTATGCTTTTCTTCACTTAACTGATTTAAAAATCGATTGTATAAAATAACATGTATATAAATATTGTTTAGCTTCCAACATATAAAAATGTAATCTATGTTAAGGTATTTGCCAGTAATACCACAAAGAGGACAAGTGAAAGCAAAACTTCAATAAGCTAAGAAATGACTGCAGATGCTAAAATAATAATTATAACAATGTATTGTTGAGTTTGCAACATTAATAGCTGTAATATACATAAAAGTAATACCATAGGTAGAAAAGGGAATAGACAGTAGTATTAGATTACACTTGAATTGGGCTATTACAAATATGAGGGTGATTCTGATAAGATGTATGTGGTAAAACCTAGAGCAACCACTAAAAAAAGAACTAAAAAACTGGAGGGGAAATATCAAATATCATTAATTAAATTAAAATAGTACATCAGAGTTTTTTTCTTTTCTTTCTTTCTTTTTTTTTTTTTTTTTTGAGACTGAGTTTTGCTTTTGTTGCCCAGGCTGGAGTACAATTGTGCAATCTCAGCTCACCACAACTTCCGCCTCCTGGGTTCACGCTATTCTCTTGCCTCAGCCTCCCAAGTAGCTGGGATTACAGGCATACACCACCACGTCTGGCTAATTTTGTATTTTTAGTAGAGACGGGGTTTCTCCATGTTGGTCAGGCTGGTCTCAAACTCCCAACCTCAGGTAATCCACCTGCCTCGGCCTCTGAAAGTGCCAGAAAATATTTTCTTAATGCAAATAAACCAGTAAAGGAGGAATAGAGAAACCAAAAATACATAATCTTCTATATTAAGAATTTCAAGAATCTACTGAAAAACTAAGAATTAAAAATGTGGCTTATAATCCCAGCACTTTGAAAGGCCCAGGCAGGCGGATTACCTGAGGTCAGGAGTTCGACACCAGCCTGACCAACATGGAGAAAACTTGTCTCTACTAAAAATACAAAATTAGGTGTGGTGGCGCATGCCTGTAATCTCAGCTACTTGTCAGGCTGAGGCAGAAGAATTGCTTGAACCCAGCAGGCGGAGGTTGTGGTGAGCTGAGATTGTGCCGTTGCACTCCAGCCTGGGCAATAAGAGTGAAACCCTGTCTCAAAAAAAAAAAAAAAAAAAGAAAAGAAAAAAAAAGTGTTCAGCAAGGTTGAAGCATAAAAGGTTAATGGCCAGAATTATTTATCTATTGTATTTCTATACATCTGAAAGACACAATCTGAAAATGAAATTAGAAAAACAATTTAATTCACAATAGTATCAAAATGAATAAAATATTTAAGATTAAATTTAACAAAAGATGTTCAAAACTTATAATCAAATAATACAAAAACATTATTTAAAAGTCAATAAAAATTTAAATAAAATACATGGGTTAGAAGAATTAACCTTGTTAAGATGGCAATACTTTTCCAAACATTCTACAACTTTTGACATAATCACTATCAGAATCCCAGTTAACTTCTTTGCAAAAATTTAAAAGGTGATTTTAAATTCAAATGGACTTGACAAGGGACCTGGAATAGCTAAAACAATCCTAAAAAAGAATGATGTGGGAGGACTCAGGCTTTCTGATTTCAAAACTTTCTACTAAGCAATGACAATCAAGAAAGTATGCACGAAGAAAGTATTTGCATTAAGAAAATATTTTCTGGCACTTTCGGAGGCCGAGGTGGGCAAATCACCTGAGGTTGGGAGTTTGAGACCAGCCTGACCAACGTGGAGAAACCCCATCTCTACTAAAAATACAAAATTAGCCAGATGTGGTGGCACATGCCTGTAATCCCAACTACTTGGGAGGCTGAGGCAAGAAAATTGCTTGAACCCAGTGGGCAGAGGTTGTGGTGAGCCGAGATTGCACCATTGCACTCCAGCCTGGGCAACAAGAGCAAAACTCAGCCTCAAAAAAAAAAAAAGAAAAGAAAAGGAAAGAAAAAATTCTGATGTACTATTTTAATTTAAATAATTAAATTAAATGTCTATCTTTAACTGGTGTAAAGATAGACATATAGATACGTGGAATAGAATTGAGAGTCCAAAAATAAATCCGTATATGAACGGTCAATTGATTTTCAACAAGGGCAGCAAGACTATTATTTGGAAAAGACTAGCCTTTTCAACATAGTAATGGGACAACGGGATAGTCACATGCAAAATAAAAAGAATGAAGATGGACCCTTACTTTGCATACTATACAAAAACTAAAATCAATCAAGAACTAAATGTGGGAGCTAAAACTCTAGAGCTATTAGTAGAAAACAGGGCTAAATACACATGACATTGAATTTGGTAAATGATTCTTAGATATGACACCAAAAACATGAGCATCAAAAATAGATAAATTGAACTTCATCAATATTAAAAACTTAGTCCTTCAAAGCATATTGTCAAGAAACTGAAAAATAAAACCTACAGAATTGGAGAATTTTTTTTCAAATCAGATATCTAATAATGGACTTGTATCCAAAATATATAATGAGCTCTTACAAATCAGTAATGAAAAAGCAAGTAACCCAGCTAAAAATGGTCAAAGCATCTGAATAGAAAGCTGTTTCTCCAAAAAGAAATAAGAAATGGTAAATAAGCACATAAACAGATGCCCATTTTAATTAGTCATCATTCAGGAACAGCAAATCAAAATCACAACGAGACACTCCTTCACAATCATTAGGACAGCTGGAATGAACAAGTCAGATTACAAAAAGTTTTGGTGAGGATGTGGAGAAATCAGAACCTTCTTACGCTGCTGGTCAGAATGTAAAATGGTGCAACCACTTTGGAAAACAGTCTAGCTATTAAAAAGTCAATTTATCAAACATGGTGTTATATAATATATCAATTTTACTCCTAGGTATATGCCTGAGATAAATGAAAACATACATTGACACACAAACATGTACCCAAATGTTGAAAGTAACATTGTTCATAATTGCTGAAAGATGGAAACAGCCCAAATGTTTATTAACTGATAAATGGATAAACAAAATATCATATATTTATATAATGGGATTATTTGGCTAATGAAATCTAATACTGATGCATGCTACAACATGAATCAACTGTAAAAAGCACTATATGATGTGAAAGGAGAAAGTCACAAAAGGCCACATATCATATGATTCTATTCACATAATGTTGAAAATAGGCAATCTATAGGGATGGATTAAAGTTAACTTGGTTGCATAGGGCTGGAAGTTGGAGTGAGGGATGGGGGGTTGTATTTAAAGGGTACAAAGTTTCTTTTTGAGGTGATAAAAATGTTCTAAAATTGAGTGGTGGTGGTTGCAGATATGTGGTGATTGTTGCACATATCTGCAGATATACTAAAAACCTCTCAATTGTATACTTTAACCTCCCAATTATATATTTTAAATGGGTGAATTGTATGGCATTTGAATTATATCTCAACAAAGCTGTTTAAAAAGAGAAGAGAAGAAGGAAAGAAAGGTGAGAAGTACTAAAAGAATGATTTTTAATATTCTTTAAAAATATTAAAGATAAATTCCTGTCTTGTATCAAAAGGTCAAAAAGATAAAAGCATAAAAGTAACCTTAAGGACATGCGGTATCCGTAGTGTAGGCCCTCAAGGCAGCTGTGAACACATAGCGTCAAAAGTGACAAGGTTGGGTGGGGTGGGGTTGGGGGGCCGACAGATTCCCTAACCCCTTCCATTACATTATTTAATCTCACTGAAAATCTTCATATCTAGAGGCCTGGTGGTTCTGACAACTGAGAGTATTATATGTGGAAAGAGAAAGTAAATTCATGAAAGACAGATTTTGATTTTTCCTAATTTTGAGAGAGTGGTTTTATCCATGAGAACCACAGTTATATGACAATTGTTTAATAAAAAAGATCCAGCAGCAGAATCTAACCCTCTACCTTCCCTCCTTTAGACGGTGAACGGATTAGCTGTCCAAACTCTTAGGAGAAGGCAGAATGGATGGACATGTCACACACATTGTTCTCTGGGAAGGTTCTTCATCTGGTGCTTCCATGGGTGAAACTAAAGAAGAGGTGCTGTAAAACGTAATATTTCTTAAAAAGTTAAAAGACTCCTTAAGGCTCATTTCATTTAATAGTTTTCAAAGTTTTTATTTGCACTAGAGCTCACTTTTCAAATACAATCTTACCTAAAACTTAAATACATAAGGCCAACACATGTGATACTGTTCTCATCAATGCCAGGATAAGAGTGCCCTTCTATAACTGTAGAAAAACATATCTAAAACCTAGGGCTGCCTGGACCATTGTCAAAAAGCCTTTATTCAGGCTGGGCGCGGTGGCTCACGCCTGTAATCCCAGCACTTTGGGAGGCCGAGGTGGGCCGAACACGAGGTCAGGAGATCGAGATCATCCTGGCTAACACAGTGAAACCCCGTCTCTATTAAAAATACAAAAATTAGCCAGGCGTGGTGGTGGGCGCCTGTAGTCCCAGCTACTTGGGAAGCTGAGGCAGGAGAATGGCACGAACCCAGGAGGAGGAGCTTGCAGTGAGCCGAGATCGAGCCACTGCACTCCATCCTGGGCAACAGAGCGAGACTCTGTCTCAAAAAAAAAAAAAAAAAAAGCTGTTATTCAGCAGATCTCTGTAAGGATATAAAAACAAAGATTCAAAAGAGGAAGTGACTTGTCCAAGCTCCCCAGCTATTAGGTATCTTAGCTAGAATTCCAAGTTCCCTTCTTACCATGATGTATTCTGGAAATTTAATGCAAACTAGGAAGCTGAAAACTCTTCCACGTATCTAGGACCAAAGCAGAAAGAAGCTCGTTCCTTGTCAGCGGTGTCTGCAACAGTGTATGGCTGATACCTCCTGGGTATCTTGGAGATGACTCTACTTGCAACGTTCTATACTAACAAAGATGGCAGAGACATGACACAGTTAGCCGTATTTTAAATGGCTATTTTAAAGATGATTTTCTCTTTTAGAGCAGCTGTTTTCAATTTTGACTGCACATCACCATAGATGGAGGAGTGCTTTTGTTATTGTTTTATTTAAATTACAGATGCTCAGAATTTTTCTTTTGGAAGAAAATAAATATTCTCAGAATCTTATGAAGATGTCAACATTTTATTCAGGCAAAAAATGCAAACATGCTCATATGCATAATTTTTTGCATATATTTTGGGTGTATTTTTTAGTCCCCTGGGCAAATAATTGGTTGTATCTTTTAGTCTCCTGTGAATTTTCTTAAGGGATATTATTTTTAAGATATTTCTTTCTACTAATGCAATTTAAAGCATAATCCAGTTTATAAAAGTACAATTATTTAAAAAAGATCTTAATGGCATGTTATTTGTGAAAATGACCTCAAGAATAGGCATTCCATACTTGGCTAGCTATTCATTGTAATTTTCAACCAGATATCTCCATGTAAACTTTGGAGCCTCGTCTCCAGCTCATGGAAGCAAAAGCCATGTTGAAGCCGAGGCTAGACTGAACATTACAGAAACATAAAAGTTGGCCATACCCTAAATCTCTGTGATCTCTGCAGATGCTCCCAACACGGACCTCCAGGAGTAAACATCATCTCCACCTGAGCCAATGAGGCTTACTGGACTTGTGGGAAAGAGTGTGAGCTTCTCAATCAGCCTTTCCTAATATGCAAAACCTAGTCCTGCCACTCACTAGTGAGGGAGAAGGTAGGGAAAAACCAGTTAGGTAAATAGTTAAGGCTGGGCCCCGGGGGAAATGCCTGCCTGAAAAATCACAGCTGCTGCAGCTGCACAGATAAGCTCAGGGGCTGATAAGGAGCCAGTGAGGCATAGAAGCATTTTTGTTCTTTGTATAATTAGCTCCAGGAAAACGTTTCCTCCCCTTTTCAGGCATATACACAGTGGGCTCCGTGGGAACTTGCACAGGGAGGAAGGAGGCTTACCTAAAACAAACCCACAGTTACATGAACAAGAGAAGCAGCACTTTGTGCTTACTTAGAAACATCCCACAGCTGGATAAAGGGAGTTGCACAGACAGCGTTACTGATAAGAAAAGTTACTCCTCAAACAATTACAGGGAGGAGAGCAGTTTTTTATAAAAGCTTTTTGCATTCAGCTGTGACCCGGCAATCCACTCAGACTCTTCTGCAGAGAGCTTTCTCCTTTCGCTTATAAAAGTTTTGCTCCAACCTCACCCGTGTGTCAGTGCTCCTCAGTCATCTTGGAGGTGAGATGAAGGACTCAGGGTGATACCTCACAAGAGAAACTGCTACATAAAGGTGCATTTGCAAGACTGCAACACTAGCTCAATATATTGAGCCACTTGTTTCAGGTTTTAACCTTTTGAGACAGTAAAACAATGTCTTTTCCCCCACCATAGGATTTCTGTGGTAATTAAATGAAATTACAGTACCTGGCTTTTGGTATAAGTTTATAGCAGCACATTTGCAATTGCAAAAATATGGAGCCAACCAAAGTGCCCATCAACCAATGAGTGGATAAAGAAAATGTGGTATACATACACCATGAAATACTACTCAGCCACAAAAAGGAACAAAATAATGTCTTTTGCAGCAAATCGGATGGTGCTGGAGGCCATTATTCTAAGTGAAGTAACTGAGGAATGGAAAACCAAAAATTCTATGTTCTCATTTATAAGTGGGAGCTAAGCTATGAGGATGCAAAGGCATAAGAATGATATAATAGATGTTGGGAACTCTCCTTGGGGGAGGAGAGTTGGAGGAAAGTGAGGGATAAAAGACTGCATATTGGGTACAGTTTACAGTGTACACTGCTCAGGTGATGGGTGCACCAAAATATCAGAAATCACCACTAAAGAACTTATCCATGTAACCAAAAATCACTTGTACTCCCAAAGCTATTGAAATATATAGCTATAACTAATATATAATATATATATTAAACTAATATATATTATATATGTATGTATATATATTAAACTATTTGCCTGGGGATAAAAAAGCAAAACATGTTTTTCTCCTCTGCTGTAAAATAAAATTTTCTAGAGGCAATAATAAAATATGTATCACAAATTCTCATTGAAATTCCATACAAACAGAAAAAAGTCAAATTGATATTATAATCTGTGAACCATATTAGATTAAACTTCTATGGATATTTAGCTGAAGGAAAATAAATTTAAGGCAAAATAGAGCAATCTCAGTTTGTTCAAGTATTTAAAATACCTTTCAATATCTGAAATGGAATAATTCTGTTTGCCCTTAAATTAGAACGAATATTAACAAGTCACATGTTGAGTTCCAGTAAGTGCTATGGTAATGAATTAGGTCTGCATATCAGTCTTAATTATGATTTGATGAATAACTACATTCAAATATAATGCAATAAAGAAAAAAATTCATCCAAAAAGGGAATGAATATACAAATATAAAATGTATATAGCAATCGAGACAACATGATAAAAGGACAAAATATATGACTATAGAACCAACCCTGACCCACAATCTCTTCAGCAACCTGTCTAGGAAGCCAGATTGTAGCCTCTGCAGCAATCAGTCCAGAATACAGGCTTGCTCAATGATTGCCAGCTTCTCTAATTTTTGTCTCTGCTGCCAACTCAGGACCAACCAGAGCAAGCCAAATATGTTTTCCAAACCAATCACATAGGATGCCCCACATCTAGTCAGCCCTCCTTCAGCCTCCCCACGCCAACAACTTCCAATCAGGGCACATAGGAAGCCTTCCCTTTGTTCCATTATAAAGCTTTCCCACCCTGCTGCTTTCCCTTTGAGTCTGTGCCAAATGCAAGATGGCTGACTCCCTTGCTTTTGCAAGCTCTGAATAAAATAGCTATGCTTGTTCTCATTTGGTTGGTCTTTGTTTATTTCCATAAGTAAGTACTTAATAAATATTAGCTTCTTCTGCATTTCCATTTCTCCCTACTGGTGGGTACTAAAACATCCTTGTTGATCTTCTTTCTCACTTTTATGAATGAGTCACAAATAATTCTTCTGCAGTCTGAATGAAGCCTCTCATTTCATCTTAAAGATATATCCCCAATATATTTCTTAATTTCCAGACCAGATGTTTCCCAGGTCACTGTTAGCTAAAGAATCTTTTGCAATGCTTGGCATTCATGGTTGGAAGGATTGAGGGGAGAGACAGAGACTGGGGTGAGGGAGGGAGGTCTTGGCTGAACAGAAAACAACGTACATCTTCTAATTAAGGCCCACTTTTATCATTATTCTTATTCTTTGTTTTTAAATTTAAACTTGTCACTGGCCAGCATAAAAAGAAACAGTTTTTTAGATGAAGAAGCTGAATTCACTTAATCTTTCAAAAATGTAAAAATAGCCTTTCACTAAAGAGCCATAAAAAATGTCTAAGTTAAGGTTAGTGTGAATCTTCTGTTCAGGAGCCGTTCTTCTTTTCTAACATTAAAAATAACCAATTGGGGAAAAGCTGTCAGGCAGAACTGAGCTTCTTGGCTTCAATCTGCTCAGTGTGGCCTGAGTGTTATTTACAGAGGGGTTTTACAGGTATTATAAACACTGGAAAGATTTCTTTGGAGTCCACTGGGCAAAAGGAATGTGTATGCATTATTCCTTCCAGAGATGAGCAGAGGCAGAGAATAGAGATGAATATTCACAGGGGTCCAAATCATCTGGAAAACAGCTTGCTGGAGTCCTGCGATTACGTTAATAAGATGTGTACCATATGCTGGCTTGAGCATGCTAATACCCTGCATCCCCTGAGTGTTGTAAGAGGATGATGGCACTGGCCACTCAAATGGAGATGGTTCCCAAAGCTGGAGCCTGCTTGTTTGTATTCCTCTGTGTCTCTGAGGGAGAGGCTCTGTGGCTTCCCAGGCTGACTGACCTCAAAGCTCCCTGCAATTTGGAAAGTAAATGATTCATTTGTCCTGTTAAGCAGCACAGAGGTTTTGTGAATCAATTGTGCACCTATTTAGAATGCAAATTAGACAGTGAGAAGCTTCATGTCAGGACATGCAGTAAACCCTGAAGGCTAGTTTCTATGCCTGGGTGACAATAAAAACAGCCTTTGAAGTAAAGCAAACACAGCGAGAATGCGCAAAGTTGGTTTTTGAGTGGGGAGGTTGTCTACTAACCTAGGCCCTCTTTCTTCCCTAGCATATACCTCAGCTGCAAGTCACAGCTGACCACAAAGATTCTGCCTTCTCTAGTGAGGTCAGCCTGCCTTAAAGGACCAGCCCTCTAAGGGGTATATTGGCTTGCCTGATGGAAGAGAAAGTCAGATGCAGGTAGAACCTAACTTTATATGGGACTCTAGTTTTTCCCATCTAGTTCTGTGTCACAAGCTATGCTATAACAGAGAAAAGTTCCTTCCCCACCATTTTTGCTTTGTCTTTAGTCAGAATAACCACAGTGGAGGCAATAGGTGGGAGTGATAATTCCAACATCTGCTTATTCTAATTTATTAACTGATCCAGTCATTTATTAAAAGATCACATACACTTATTGCATGTGAACTTTATGCCAGTCACCATGCAAAACGGGTGCTTAGTAGAATGGAAATAACTAGTGTTTGGTGGCAGAGGCAAATGCCTGACCTGAACAATTACTCCATGCACTGAAGGTTCTAACAAGTATGAACCTTGCAGCAGGACCACAAAGGAGGTGGTGGTATATCATCTGTGATTTATTTGTCTACAGACAAGGTAATGCATGTGTATATAAATCTATTTAATTTGTACCCTATGAAGATCAGGGGTTCTTTGGAAGAACACCCAAATAATTCTAATGAAGAATCTAGGTTCTATGTATATTGAGTTACCTCTACACAGAGAGGTTTACACTCTAGGGCATGCATTTCAAATGCTGGTATCAGAACATGCTCAAAGGGGATTGCTAACTACATAATATAGATTAGAAATAATGTTTTTATGAGTGAAACAGTGTTTAAGATATGTGCGTGGCTATTTGACTAGAATAATTGTGTCCTTACATCACTTTTGTTTAATGGGTAAATAAGAATTTGATGAACCAGGCACTTGAGTCCCTCACACTAGTGCTATAGAACTAGAATTTCATTTGGTCTTGTTTTATTCCACTTAAAAAAGATTCTGCCACTGAACCTTACAAGAATAATGGTTGATCTTGCTATCAAAATATTTGTTGTATTTGCCTTGGGTCAGTCTTTCAAACACATTCTCTGTGTTTGACAGAAAGTCAAGACTTCAACAAGTCTACAAGAATTGGTTGTAAAGTTGTTATATGCCTGCTTAGATAATAAACATCACTTTGGGTGTCAGTATTTGGTCTGAAAGCAAGTGGTATACTTTCTTTCATTGTATACCACTCAATTGAGCTTGTGGAAAGAGCTGACATATAGTTTCTACCTTCTTCTAAGTTTGGAGAAGATACCAATATTTACCAAAGATCTAAATATAAATGGCCATATTGACTTAGATCAGCTCTAAACAGACAGCTTCCTGGAGGAAGTGATGCTTGTGTTGGGTTTTGAAGCCTCTCTAGTTGTGCTCCAGCTTTTATAGATTTGAAAACCAGCCAGTCATTTCCCCAACCTGCTAAACAGAGCTGTGCAAAGAACACCAGCTTGAGAATAAAGTGAATGTCATTGGAATTCCAGTTCCCTCACTGCTTCACTTTTGACCTCAGGAAAGGTTTGAATGACTCCAAGTCTGTTTCAATGTCTGTAATACAAACAAAAGTTTTATTTGAATGATCTATTGCATTCCTCTGCAATTCTTTGATGGTACATACTGAAACACGACTGGGTTGAACAGATGTGTCCTTTAAGGAAAAGAGAAGCTCATGATGCTGGTGAGAAAAGAATCAAGAATCAAAGGGGAGACTTTTCTGAGTCATTCATCTCTTAGCAGTTATTTGCTGAGGGCCAGGTCTCTTATATAGTTATTTAAGAAGTACTGTCTAGTCAACATGGCACATGTCAAACTAGGCTGTATATTTGGGCAACATCATCCCCTTTCAGTGTCATTTTTCTCATCTAAATTGGAGGCTAAATATCAACAATTGTAGGCTGGCTTTGAAAAGTAAAGCTAATGTTTGTAAAGGGAAAATGCAGTCTTGGGTATATAATAAGCATGTTAGGAATGATAGCTATTATTATCATTACATTAATGACAAAATACCAAACACGGTCACAGAACTGTACCAGGGCAGTGGAACACTGGAGGAAAAGAAGAGAGGGACTACCTATACTTTGAAAGAGAGTGAAAATGAGTGCTGTGGTATGAGCTGTTTTTTCTGAAAAGAAAAGGGAAGCATAAGTTTCAAGAAAGATTGTATATGAACAGGCACATACAATCTGAATAAAAATATTAAAGAATACTTGAAGAATGAAAGTAGACTGGATAACTGAAATGAAGAATGAGAGTAATAAGAGATAATCCTATAACATAGATAAGGACCAGATCAGGAAGGGGAAGAAAACTGATAATTGTTTTGTACCCTATTTACTACACAGAAACCTAGGCATATTTAATTATTTACTTTTCAGAACCACCCCACAAATTAGGTGTTTTGAACCGCATTTTACAGTTGAGAAAGCTGGCCTTGGGAGTCATTTAAAAGGTTTACATATTATTCTTTCAGTGATAGGGAGCCTCTGAGAGCCTTTAAGCAGGTGAATGACATAAATTATGCAGTTACCAAGAAAGCTGGCTTCCCTGGAGATCCTTACAGAAATGAGGCCACACAGCTACCTTACAGATCTTTTCAAACAGCATGTCAGGAGCCACATGGGTGAAGCAGGAAGCAGGAATGACTGTCAGCAGAAAGGCTAGGCTTGGCTGGCTCCAGCTGGGGGAGGGATCTCTGGGGAGACCTGTCATCCAGGGCTGCAGGCTTGTTCCATATCCTCTTCTTGCTCTTCCAACAGACTTTCCCCTGCCAGATACAGGTCCCACAGGATGACTGCAATGAGCTCATAATTGTGGGGAGAAAAGTTAGTCTGAGCTAAATCACTGCTGTGGAACAGAAACAACCTTGACTCAGAACAGCTGTTTCTGAAAAGTGTACTCAGAGCTTTCAGAACAGCTTGTAACAACCCGGAGTAAAGAGCTTGGGCAAAAAGAATGTGCGACAATCTATGTGAAAATAGAAGTATGATCAAAACCCAGAATTTCAGAGTGGAGACTGAAAGAGAGGTACTAAGGTACCAAAGGGAAGCCTATCTGGGTTTGGAAAATTTGGTAGCAGAGATTTCTTAATATGTGACTGAGTAGCTTATGCCAAGAGGAAAACATCATAGAATGGCTCTTCTATGCCTGCCCCCAGCTGCCCACAGCTGGAAGCTGTGATGAATCATAAAAGACCTCAGAACTGGTTCAACACCAAAGAGTTTAGTCTTTTCACTGTCTTTACATTTGGGGAAACTGAGGCTCAGAAAAGTAAATTAATCTAGATCAGCTAATTGATTTGCTAATTGATTTACTCATTGAGACCCCAAAAATTTCAAGATGAAGAGGAATCAATGAATCTTAAATCTAGCCTGATTTTTGTGGTCAAGATCACCCTTACTTATCTCTGAAAATATTACAACAATGGGAAGTTAAGAAGAAAGAAATGTCAATGGTTCATGGTTATCAAAAGGGAGCAGCTATATCCTGGGCTCCTATTGAGTTAAGGATAGGGACAGGAATTAGACAAGCTGGGTGGAAGGGATGCAAAGATTCTGGGTTGCACCTGGGCCAGGGTGTGCCAGGATGTTAGCCCAATGGCCCTTCAGCTGGACGTGGGTGTTCTTCTACCATAGTGTACCTATGAGTAACAACACACCAACAGCTTCTACTGAGGATCCTGCATATTCTTTTTGGTATCTTCATATATAATATCTATAAATGAAGAATGAGACTATCATAATGTGAAACTATATGATAGGGTGAATCTTGGTATTTATTTAGAAAAGCATACAGGAGGTAGCTAATTGAAACAATTTTCTTTCTTTTATTTCTGTAAACCATCTCTTTATGCTATTACTTGACTGCTCTGGATACTGAAAAATGATTTCTGATTTAGTCCCAAAACATATGCAGTGTTTTCATAAATTAACAACTCTAACTTATAACAACAACAAGCACACTGGCCACATATAACATGATTGAGGTCTAGATGTTTATCCAATCAGAGTTTAAGGTGAAACTCCACTCAACTGATTTTATAGTTAATAAGGGATTCAGAAAGATGAAAATTCAGAACCTCCCATGTTCAAATGAAAGTATGAATGTTTGAAATAGAGACAGCTGTTTTGTTATTAGTTAAATATTGGATATATTTCATTCTATCAATCAGTGAAAGAAATGATGGAAGGGGCATGCTTTTTGGCCTTTTAGATGGAAGAGCACTGACATTATTGACCACACAATATAAGTTAGATTTTTTGTATGCATATTCACTGCTGACTTGCATTACTTACATTAACTTATTGACATTCAAAGCAGCCTTATGAAGTATTTTTCACATTGTGCAAATGATGAAGTTCCAAGAGGTTAATATACTTGAGCAAAGTCATATAGTTTATGTCAGAGCTAGAATTAAATCCATGTCTGTTTGATCTCAAGTCAACAGTGTTTCCACTTCATCACTTTGAAGAAGTACATGACATCTGCCAGATCCCATGCAAGAACAAGAGTATGTGCCAGGACTAGACACTGGACACATCTGTTACCTGTTGGCAGACTAGATGGAATATATGAATGGCTTCTGCCAAGAGGCCTGCAAATTGTCTTTGATGTCTTCATATCTGAAATCTATAACTTTGATGAATGAGGCTATCCCACTGTAAGACTATATGACAAGGCAAGAAGGCCTGTTCTTTCTCACCTATGATTAAACAGGCAGCTGAGAATAATATCCTTAAATGTTTTACTTCAGGGTTCCTCCCATCCAAATTGGGACTCCTGGTAGGACATCTTGCTATTCTCTGAGATGAAGAGACCTTAGATGAATCCCTGTTTATGGTTTCCTCTGGTTGCCTTTTATGTGAAAAGTTATTCATACTCAGAGGAGATGAGATGATATGATCTGGGGTCCAATTTGTTGAATACCATAATGTATTCTGTTAATCACTATCACCCCGGAGCCTGACTATCACAGGGATTTTTTTCTTTTTTTTTTTAACCCAAACTTGGCCAATTTCTGTGGCATATTTTTTGAGGACACCACAAAGATTGCCTATAAATTGATATCTCTCTCCAAATTTAAAACTTGCTCAGCTAAAATCCGTTTGACTTTTCAGGCTCAATTTTCCTTTAGGCCTCTCCTTGCTTTCCTCCTGTGCCCAAAGTCAATGATTTTCTAAGAGTCCTCTTTACTGATTGCCTTGGGCTCTACTAGTTATGGGATGAAAACTTGAATTGACCAGCAGCCAGGACATTGGGGTGACACAGCATCTTCTACAAATAAATCTGTCAGAGGTAAGAATGGGCTTCTGCTTGTTAACAAATGTATTGATCATGATAAATGTTGGACCAATTGTCCTCAGAAATGGACGATAGTCTCAACACACACTACTTGGGGGTTGTAGGTGAGCTGTTCTTTCATATCTCTGCTTATCCTTTTTTCTATAATAGGCTTAAACCATGGAGGTGGGAGGGGATAGGGGAGCTGGTTGATTGCTTGACAAAACTTCAAGTTTCTTAGCAATAATATTTCTAATATTCAAGAATTAATTATTTTCAAAAAGTATTAGATAGGAACCATTGCCTGGACTTCAATGTTTTAAAACTACCCATGGATACGGTAAACTTTCAATTAGTTTACTCAAAACACATTGGTTAAAAACTCGCATCTGCCACTAATTTTCTGAATGACTTTTTAAAAACATCATCTCTCTCAAAATCTGAGTTTCTAATCCCAAAATGAGAAGATTGGACAACATCAGAACAGAAGCAAGTTGTATATTCTATGCCTAATGCAAGCATTACTAGTTCATTTTTTCTCCTGAATGTAGATGTAACTGAACAATCTTTCATAGCTCAGCACTCAGGAAGCTATCACTATTCAATGAGATTTTGCCTAAGATATAAAATCCATGTGTTATTGATCAATAGTAGATCTCAAATATAGCCCTAACATTTTATGATTATTTTCCTTATAACTTTTTTTGGCCCAGGGAAAATTGTAAAATAGACATATGTCTGATCAATTCTTATATTTTTAGTACTTTTCAGTTTTCAATGCTCCTTTAAGTCCTTTAGCCCATTTATTCTTTACGACAAAACTGAAAGACTGTAAATTTTGTTCTCATAGGTATTTGCTGGTGATTGCTGCACAGTAAGCCAGGCTAGAACTCGATGACGTAAATGAATAAGCATTTATTACTGCTTACTAGTCTATTGGTCTGCTGCATAGTTCTGGTCTCTGAAAGAATCAGGCATCTACGGTCAGCTGTGAGCCAACTGTGAGCAATTTAGTCTAGGATGGCCACTCTTAGGAAGGTTGAGAAAACTAGGCTCTCCTTCCCATGATCTTTCATTGCCTAAAAGATTAATTTGAGCTTGTTCAGATGACAGCAGCAGGGCTCTGAGAAAGAAAAGTGCCTCTTGATGCCTGGACTCACAACCGGCACAGCATCATTTCAGCATAATTCTGTTGGCTAAAGCAAATAACAAGGCCAGCCTAGATTCAAGGACTGGAAGAATAGATATCTCTTAAGCGTTCTACTGAAAATTGGAAATGCCTGATCACTGCCTTCCAAACTATGCATAAAACATTTCCATCAACCCAGAAATTTCTCCTGTGTTCTCTGTTGATTCCTTTTCTCACCACCTCCTATTTATTCAGGAGACCACCTTCTGATTCCTAACACTGTAAGTGTTGGTATATTTTTGGATACACAAAATCAAAAATTCATTTCTGTCTCTTTTCTTTACTATCATGTGTTTCAGAATAATCCATACTGTTGCATGCATACATGTTCTTTTAAGTTTATTGGTTTCCTTTTTTAATTTTTTCTTCATATTCTAGTTTTTGTTTTCCTTTACATTCATTGTTGTGTACCCATGCTGATCCCAGCATTATGCAACCAGTAATGACTTTACATGCAAATTGAATGAGACAGAATATTCATCATAGAGCATTTAAAATGTGTTTTAGGCCAGGCACGGTGACTCACGCCTGTAATTCTAGCACTTTGGGAGGCCGAGGCTGGCGGATCACTTGAGATCAGGAGTTCAAGACCAGCCTGGCCAACATGGTGAAACCCTGCCTCTACTAAAAACGCAAAATAATTAGCCAGGCTTGGTGGTGCATGCCTATAGTCCAAGCTACCCAGAAGGCTGAGGCAGGAGAATCGCTTGAGCCCAGGCGGCAGAGGTAGCTGCGAGCCGAGATTGCGCCACTGCACTCCAGCCTGGATGACAGAGTGAGACTGTCTCCCCAAAAAAAAAAAAAGAAAAAGAAAAGAAAGAAAAGTATTTTAAAGCAAAAAAAAAATTATAATTACTGATAATTTCATTAACAATATTACCACAGTGAATTTAATGTTTTCCTGTCACAGTTTTTAAAAATCTGTATACATTGTTTACTTATAAAATTACAATTGGAATCATGCATATAGACATACATTCTTCTTTCTCACTTGATATTGCGTTGTATTTTCTAAATTATTAAATATTCATTTTTTCAGTAGTTTTGTTCCTACACTAATATATATATAAATATTATTTTTATTATTTTTGAGATTGGATATTATTTGTTTATATTGATTTCTCCCTACCTCTCTTTCTCTCATATATTTTGTCTTATCCAATATTAAATTTATTTAAGTTTATTTATTTTTTCTGAGGATTTTTTTGACTAGAACCCAACATTTTGTTGCTTTCACATTGTAAAGTGTCTGTAATACCAGTTTTAATTTCCTCTTTGCCCCAACACTTATTTATCAAGGCATATTTTAATGTATTTCATGTTTTTAGTTTTGCTTGTATTTTTTGTTTATTGCTTTGAGGCAAAAAAGATTGCATATTTTTCATGTTTTGAAATTTTTTGATTATTTATGTAAATGTATTACAGACATTTAAAAGAATATGTATAATGGGCATCTAGGCACAAATCCTATTCATACCTCTTCAGTCTGGCTTATTAATTAAGAGAGCATTGCAAAGTGATTAAGAGCTAAAGCTCTGGAAACATTTTGCCTATGTTCAATATTTGGCTCAATCAATTTCAAACTATGTAACGTTAGTCCAGCTACTAAACCTTCTTTGAATTAATTCTCTCATCTGTAAATGAGATTGTAGTAGTATCTAATAATATCTTTCTATAGATTTATTGTGAGCAGTAAATGAGCTAGTAAATATAATGATATATATAATAAATACAGCAGTGCCTGACATGGTAAACACTATAGGTGTTATTTTTCATTGTGGTATATTATTCAAGTCATCTATGCTTACTGATATTTTCTGTTTTCTGTATTAAATATTAAGATATATTCAAGTTCTCCCCATGACTCTAATTTTGTCAACTGTACCTTACATTTATAAGTTTTCCTTTAAATATTTTAGTGTCAAATTATTTGATACATAAATGTTAATAATTGCCATAAATATTTATTCATTCATTTGGTAGTCATATAAAGCACATTCATTTTCTTATTTCATGCTCTTGTCTTGGATTCTGTAATACTGATATTGCCAAGGCTGTTTTCTTTGCATTTGTTATTGCCTGGTATACAATTCTCCCTCTTTTAATGTTTTGCTTTTCTTCTTAATTTCATTTTATTGAGTCTGTTATCAAGATTATATAATTAATTTAGGTTCTTTTACCAATACAAGAGGAGTTTAATTAATTTATAACAACTCTGATAACTGGTGGTTTTATTATAATTTTGCCCTTTTATTATATACTTCACATTTTTAGGCTTTATTGCTCTTCTTTCCTAGATTGTTCTATGTGAAACAAGTTTTTTATACTTTTTTTTCTTCAGTAACATGAATATCACGGATATTAATTATATTAAGTATGATTACTTTTACATTAAAAAGTAAACATCCTTGAAATTGCATTTCCCTATTGCCTTAAGAAAGAACAATACCAATTTATGATTGTATGCAATGTGCATTAGCAAATAATGATAACATGTAATTTCCTTTCACTCCTTTTCATCCAGCTCTTTCAAGTTAGAGATTGCTAAGCTAAAGAACACTGATGCTATAATAAGCAAGTTGTTCCCCACGTGTACAGCAGTGGGCATTGTAATGTTATAGAAAGAGCATGGGTTATGGATCTATACAGATGTAGTTTCAGATGCCAACTTGGTTATTATTAGCTATTGATCATTATAAAATAGTATATGTCAGTTCCTAGTATATACTGAGTATACAAACAGGAAGATGAGTACTGGCCTTATAGGCAGTTTGAGGCAAATCAAAACAATGTAGGATTTGTCAGCAAGGAGCTTGAATGCTAGATTTTGTAAGTAGACAATCACTAAGATGTTTCACATAGGCCACAGGAGTGGTTATGTTTGTCATTAGATGGCTTTCAGAAGGGTTTTGCATAAGGATAGCTTTGAGTAGAGGGAGACCAGTGGTCAAGCTACTACTATTTTGAAGGTGAGAGATCATGAGAGACTTCAGACAATGACAGTAGAATATTACAGTGTGAATTCAACTAATGTGCATGTGGTAAATTGAGAAAAATGAGTTTGATTTTTTTAATTTAAATAAACTATGTCGTTTTAGTATTATATAGACCAAAAAATACACAAATCACGAGTGTATAGTTTGTGAATTTTCACAAAGTGAACACAGTCATGTAACTAACACCGAAACCAATAACTAGAAGATTCCAGCCCTCAGCAGTGTTTTTTGTGCCCTCTTCTAGTCACTATCCACCAACTGAACCTCCAAAATCATAGATTAGTTTTATCTGGTTTTGCATTTACATGAATGTAATCATACAAAACATACTCTTTTGTGTAAGACTTGTTTGGCTCAAAATTATGTTTGACAAATTCAAGGATTTTGTGCATTGTGATAGACAGTTCCTTCTCATAGTTTCCTTCATTGTGTAAATATCACACAACATGTTTATCTATTCTATTGTTTATGGACATTTTTGGTAGCTTTCAGTTGGGAACTCTTGTAAAAACTGATGATATGGGCTGGGTGTGGTGCCTCATTTCTGTCATCCCAGCGCTTTGGGAGGCTGAGGTGGGAGAATTGCTTGATGCCAGGAGTTCAAGATAGGCCTGCAAAACAACATAAAGAGTCCCCATCTTTACAAAAAATTAAAAATGAAAAATTACCTGGGTGTGTTGTGTGCACCTGTCTTCCCAGCTACTCAGGATACAGGAGGATTGCTTGAAACCAGGAGTTTGAGGTTACAGTGAGCTATAACTGTGCCACTGTGCTCCAGTCTGGGCAACAGAAGGAGACCCTGACTAGAATATATATATATATATACACACACACATATATATGTGTATATATAATAAACCTGATGATATGAATATTTTTGTATATATCTTTTGTTATAAATATGCATGCAATTCTGTAATATATTTATTATATATATTCTGTGTATATATTATAAATATGCATGCTCTTCTGTTATATATTATATATACAGAATATATTATACAATATATTAAATATAATATATAAGCCTGATATGAATATTTTTGTATATATCTTTTGTTATAAATATGCATGCAATTCTATAAAATAGCAACAAATGAAATTTTTAGGTCATGCATGTGCTTTAGTATACACAGTGAAAACTTCACACAATTTTATAAAATACACCCCCACTCTTTAGCACTATGAGAGTTGGGTTGCCTCACATTTCCACAATTGATGTAATGGGTCTTTTTCATTTTAACCATTCTTGTGGGGATATAGTGGTATCATTGTGTTTCCAGTTTGCATTAACATTGAACAACTTTCGTATGTTTATTTGCCAGTTGAATATCACTTTTGCTAAAATGCCTGCATCTTTCGCTCATTTATCTGTTGTGTGTCTATCTTTTTCTTAATTCTCTCTATATATTCTGTGTGAGATCCCTTGGTCAGTTACGTTTCTCCTATTCTGTCTCATTTTTTGGGTTGCTCCTTTATGCTCTTGCTGATGTTTGATAAGCAAAATTTTGATGTAGACTAATTTATCAATGATTATCATTAAGGTTAGTGCTTTCTGTGCCCTATTTGTACCATCTTTTCCTATCTTCTAAGTCATAAAGCTCTTTTTCTATGTTTTCTTCTAGAAAAAATGTGTTTCAAGTTTTACATTTAGGTGTATAATCTCCCTTGAGTTGAATTGTATATATAGGGGCACAGATTTTTTAATATGCATAACTGTCTGACTCAGGACCACATTTTTAAAGGATCATAGCATAAAAGACCACTGTGAAATGACATCTTTTTCATAAATTGGGGGGTCTGTGTATATGTTGGTATATTTCTGTAGTCTGTTCTCTTCCATTAAATGATGTAGCTATCCCTCTGTTAATACGACTGTCTTAAGTGTAAGAACTTTATATATCTCTCTCCCCCACCCCCCCTTTTATTTTTTAGTAGGGACAGGGTCTGACTATGTTGCCCGGGCTGGTCTTCAACTCCTGGCCTCAAATGATCCTCTCATCTCAGTCTCCCAAAGTGCTGGAATTACAGGCATGAGCCACACCTGGCCCATAGCTTAATATCTACTATTGTAATTACTCTAAACTTTTTCTTCTTCAACATTTTTTTCTTTTCTGAATATTTCCTGACCTTTGTATTTCAGTGTCAATTTGGGTATCAGGCGTCAACTCCTACCCAACAGTAACAACAGACCTGCTGGTATAATGTTTGAGATTGCATTGAATCCATAGGTCATTTAGGGGTAAATTATACAGCATTAGTTACAGTACTAAATTATGTACATGGTATATTCCTCCATTCTTTATTTAATTATTTTCAATAATGATTTGTAATTTTTTTTGTAGCTGCCTAAAGACAGAGCAAATTTAAAGAAAACTTGCAAATTTTGGTTCTGAATGACAAGGTCCATGATGCTGTTCTACAGGCATATCTTGTTTTATTGCACTTTGCAAATATTGTATCTTATTACAAATCAAAGGTTTGTGGCAATCCTGTTTCAGCAAGTCTATCAGTGCCATTTTTCCACAGTATGTGCTCACTTTGTGTCTCTGTGTCACATTTTGGTAATTCTCAAAATATTTTAAACCTTTTTGTAATTATTATATCTGTTTTGGTCATCTGTGGTCGGTGATCTTTTTTGTTACCATTGTAATTGTTTGGGGGCACCACAAAAATATGCATAAAAATGGCAAACTTAATCATAAATGTTGATTTATTTTATGTTCAGTTTTTTCTGACAGCTCCATCAACTGGCTGTTTCCCATCACTCTCTCTCTTCTCAGACCTCCCTATTTCCTGAGAAGCAACAATATTCAAATCAGGCCAATTAATAACCCCAAAATAACCTCTAAGTGTTCAAGTTAAAGAAAGAGTCACACATCTCTCACTTTAGCAGAAAATCTAGAAATGATTAAGCTTAGTGAGGAAAGCATGTTGAATGCTGAGATAGGCTGAAAGCTGGGCCTCTTGCACCAAACGCTTAGCTAAGTTGTGAATGCAAAGAAAAGGTTCTTGAAGGAAATCAGATGTGCTATTCCACTGAATACAAGAGTGATAAGAAAGTAAAACAGACTTATTGCTGGTATGGAGAAAGTTTGAGTGGTCTGGATAGAGACCCTAGGGCCTATTTCTTTAGAGAATTAGCAAGGCCCTAACTCTCTTCATAGGAAACTTGAGAGAGGTGAGGAAGCTGCAGAAGAAAAGCTAGAAGCTAACAGAAGATGGTTTATGATGTTTGAGGAGAGAAGCCATTTCCATAACATAAAAGTTCAAGGTGAATCAGTAAGTGCTTCTGTGGAAGCTGCAGTAAATTATCCAGAAGATCTGGCTAAGGTAATGGATGAAGGTGGCTACACAAAACAGCAGATTTTCAATGTACACAAAACAGCCTTCTACTGGAAGAAGATGCCATGTAGGACTTTCATAGCTAGAGAAGAGAAATCACTGACTAGTTTCAAAGCTTCAAAGGACTTTCTGACTTTCTTGTTAGGGGCTAATGCAGCCGGTGACTTTAAGTTGAATCAATGCTCATCTACCATTCTGATGATCTAAGGGCCTTTAAGAAATATGCTAAATGTACTCTGCATGAGATCTATACATGAAACAACATAGCCTGGGGGATGGCACATCTGTTTATAGCCTGGTTTACTGAATATTTTATGCCTGCTATTAAGACCTACTGCTCAGAAAAAAAAACTTTTAAAAAATATTACTGCTCTTTGACAACACATCTGGTTACCCTCAAGTTCTGATGGAGATGTACAGAGAGACTAATATTGTTTTCATGCATGCCAACACACTATCCATTCTGCAGCCCATTGATCAAGAAGTAATTTTGACCTGTAAATCTTATTATTTACAAGGCTCTTGTTTTCATAGATAGTGATCCCTCTGATGGATATGGGAAAAGTAAATTGAAAACCTTCTGGAAAAGATTCGTCATTCTAGATATCATTCAATACATTTGTGATTTATGAAAGGAGGTCAAAATATCAACATTAACAGCAGTTTGGAAGAAGCTTTCAACCCTCATGGAAGACTTTGAGGTACTAAAGGTTTCAGTGGAAGAAGTAACTTCAGATGTCGAGGAAATAACAAGACAACTAGAATTAGAAGTGCAGCCTGAGGATATGACTGCATTGCTGCAATTTCATGATAAAACTTGAAGAGATGCAGAGTTGCTTCTTACTGATGGGCAAAGAAACTGATTTCTTGAGATGAAATCTAGTTCTGGTTAAGATACTGTTAACATTGTTAAGATGACAACTATTACATAATTTGATAAATCAACAGCAATATTTGAGATCATTGACTCCAATTCTGAAAGAATTTCTATTGCATGTAAAAGTTATCAAAAAACATCACATACTGCAGAAAAATTTTTATGAAAAGAAAAAATTTCTCTGTGGCAAACATTATTGTTGTTTCATCTTAAGAACTTTCCACAAGCCCTGCAACCTTTCGCAACCAACAACTTGATCAGTCAGCAGCCATCAACATCAAGGCAACACCCTCCACCAGCAAAGAATATGACTTGCTGAAGCCTTGGATGGTTGTTAGCATTTTTTAATCAATAAAGCATTTTTAGTTAAGGTATGTACATTTTTGTTTTAGACATAATACTATTGCACACTTAGTAGACTACAGAATAACGTAAACATAACTTTCATATATTTTAAAATTTTAAATGTATACATTATATTTTAAATGTATACCTAATATTTTTAAGTTGCATGTGATATTTCATTGCATGCACTAATTGTGTATTGATCAAGTCAGGGTATTTAGGGTATTCATTACCTTGAGCATTTATTATTTCTATGTGTTGGAAACATTTCAAGTGCTCTCTTCTAGCTATTTTGAAATAAACAATATATTGTTTCTATCTATAGTCATTCTTCTCTGCTGTTGAATAGTAAAATTTATTCCTTCTCTCTAACTGCATGTTTGTGCCAATTAACCAACCTCACTCCTCTGCTTCCCCATATATACTTCCCCTTTCCAGCTTCTGGTAACTATCATTCTATACTCTGCCTCCATGAAATCAACTATCTTAGCTCCCACATATGAGTGAAAACATGCAATATTATTCCATTAAATGGATTTTTAAGTTTTGCCATTCTTTTCTCCTTCTGGAACACCCAGCATTTAAATATTTCATTGCTTTGTGGTCTCTTATATGACATTCAGTCTTTATTCATTGATTTTATTCTTTTTATTGCTTTTTTCTGATGGGGTTATTTCAAAATATCTGTTTTCAAGTTCTGAAATTCTTTTTTCTACTTAGTCTACTGTATTGTTGAAGCTTTCAACTGTATTTTATATTTTATTCATTGAATTATTCAGTTCCAGAATTTCTGTTTGTTTTTTTTCTTTGTAATATCTATCTTTTTGGTGAATTTCTCATTATATTCTGAATTGTTTTTCAGATCTATTTGTAATGCTTATCTGTGTTCTCTTACATCTGCCTGTGCTTCTTTAATATAAATGTTTTTAATTCTTTTTCGGACATTTCATAATTTCTTTTTCATTGCAATCTGTTGCTGGAGAATTATTGTTCTTTTAAAGGTGTCATATTTCCTTGTTTTTTTATTTTTCTTGTGTCCTTATGTTGATATCTGTGTATCTGATGTAACAATTCCTTCTTTGTATTTTTTGGATTGGCTTTAATAGGAGAAGACTTTTCTCTATAGATATATTATGGTGTTGGTTGAGTATGGCCCTTTGGCCTTGATTCTGGGTGCATGCTATGGTGTAATCCCCTAATGATTTCTTCAGCTGCAAACAGTATCATTGATGTCTGTGATTTCCTCAGTGGTTTGAACTACAGTTGTCAGTGGAGGATGTGGTGAGGCTGGGTGCTGGGGATGAGGATGCCAAGTGGGCCAATTCTTCAGCTCCATTGGTGGCAGTGGTGTGTGAAGTGTGCCTATCTTTGGGCCCCCAGGTGGCGTGTGGAGTTACTGGAGTTAATGGGTCCAGGAAGGCCAATTCTTGGGCCTGTATGTGGCTTGCTCAGGTGCCAGCAATGGCATCAGTAAGCTGGACTGGTGGGTGGATCTTCAGGCCCCTAGGCAGCATGTGTGGTACATGTGTGATGGCCGTAGCAGTAGCAGGGCAACACTCAGGCTCCCATGTAGCCTGTGCTGGTGTTAAGAGTGGCTGCAACTGGCTGGGCAGGCCAGTTCCCAGGCTGTCAGGTGGCCTGTGCAGGTAGGTGCCCGCAGTTGTGGTGGCGGCAGAGTGGGTGCCCATCCTCAATCTTTTGGAAGGAGTGAACAGATACCAGTGGTGGAGGATGGGCCAAGCCAATCCCCAGACTTTCAGACCATGTGTTTGGGCACCAGCAGCTAGTTTTCTGAGACTGTTGTTGGGCCCTCTAATGTTCTGTATGCATGCCCAAGGCCATTGACAGAGAAGGGCAATCTCAAGCCCCTAGCGGGTGGTGCTGAGGGGATTGTACCAGGCTGGGTGGGCCTATTCTCACTCGCCTTGCTGATGCAATCCCACCGGGTTGTGGTGGGCAGGACAAGGCTATTTCCAGGGCCCAGTGGTGTGTTCAGGTGGCAGCAACAGCAGCAGTAATGGGCGGGGAGAGCCTCTTCTCAGGACTCTCAGGATATGTGCAAGAGTGCAGTGGCTCTGCTGCTGGTGGGAGACAGGGTTGCCATCAGTGGCAACAGCCCCAGGCAAGTGGTTTTCAGGCTCTGGGGAGTGCACACTTAGACTCCCTTTGTCTGGAGCAGCCTCCCTGGTGTGCTGCACCACCTGTTCCCAGTAGGACATTGTGTGGGCTGCAGTGTTGAGGTCCCTGCCACACTGCTGGGTCCAATGGGCAATGGCACCACTGTAGTCCTCCAGGTGGATGTGGAGGGTATATCAGTGGGGATTCAGGGATATAGAGGTGCAGGGGCTGTTAGACCCCAGGGCAAGATGCAATGTTGTAGGGTCTGGACTGTCAGGATGGCGCTATACAGCTGCTTGGGTTTGGTAGGGGGATGTGGGACCTAGCATGAGCTCCCCCTAGCATGAGCTCCCTCTCTGGAGCAATGCCATCGCCCAAACTCCAGGCATGAGTCTGTGGTGGGAATTTGGATCACTGTGAATCTTTTACTCACCCTTTCCTTGCATCAAGGAGCCTCTCCAGTCTCCCACCCAATCCTGGCCCAGCTGGCTGCCTTGCTTCTCTCTCCTTCTATGCCTTAGTGTTTCCTGTCACTTCTCTGCTGAATTCCACTGTTCTGCCTTAGGTGATCTATGTGAAGTGTGATTACCTACTTACTATTTTGGGGTTTGTTTTGTGGGGGAGGTGAGTGCCAGATGCCTCTAGCCAGCCATCTTAAAGCCCCCTAAAACATAACTTTCTTATGCATTGGGAAACAAAAAAAGTTGTGGGATTAGCTTTATTGCATATTCATTTTATTGCTCTGGCCTGGAACCGAATGTGTCATATATCTTAAGTATGTTGTCATATATCTTAAGTATGTCTGTATAGGGTTGTTTGTGTGTGTGTGTGTGTGTGTAGTAATAGTAAGAGGTATGGGGCAGAGTAGTAAAATCATTTTAAGATGGCTTTGGAACATATAAAAATATCTAAGAAGAAGTTGGAGCTATCTACAAATCCAGAACTTAGGAAAATGCTATTTCAACACATATTTAATGTACATCTGTTATATTCCAGCAACTTAACTAGGCCCTGGGATTAAAATGGTGAACAAAACATCTACAAAAAGCAAAGGCCTCTGCTCTTATTTTAAAGAGTCAGATATTAATCAAAGAATCACACAAATTAATATACATTTCCAGAAGATAATTGAGAAAATTGATACCAGGAGTTGAGAAAGGTTACTTCAAGGAAGTGTCCAAAGGTTTTCAATGGGGGGAAAATTGGTTATGATGTTTCCAGAAAAAAAAGTTAGCATAAGCTGCTAAAGGAAGATGGAGCATAATGAGACATGACCCCACAGGATCTTGAATGTATGCTAAGGTGATTATCTTGAGCAGCTGGAGAAATGGAAAGGTTTATTCAATATATGTACCATATTAGGTGGCAAAGATTATAGAACATTTCAACATTGCAAATAGTTTTATTGAGCAGATCTGTATAGAGGTTTTATTTGCCAGTCAGTTGTATACAAGGGAAATTGAAAAGATAGGTATTGATGTGCTTGCTAGGAGAAAGTAAATAGTTACAATATGGCCTTATATTGAGGAACTCCAACACTTAATAACAGTGAGGAATAGAATGAGCCTAAAAAGGAGGCAAGGGAAAGGACTGAAAGCTAGAAAGACATTCAGTAGAGTGCTGTTTCATGGGTGACTAAAGGAGTTCATGGTACAAAATGCCATAGATGCCATAAGATGAAGATTAAAAACACCTGCTGGATTCAACAACAGGTGACATAATCAGAAGTTGTTTTAACAAAAGAGTGGGAGAGAAATCCAGAATACATATAAGTACATCAAATATGTATGAACAGTTGAGAAATTTGGATGCAAAGCAAAGGAGACAAATAACAGGGACTAGAAAAAATTATAGAATTCCAATATTTTTGTGGGTATTTTATTAAGGGGGAAACAGGAGCATGCTTATGCCAATTGGAAGCATATATTGAGAGAGAACATAGATTTACAAAATAAAGAACCAGATAATCTAATTTTGAGTTTCAAAAGACTTGGAAACCACGTGTTTGTATTGGAGCCTGGCTGGTCAGTTTAGTCACTTTCACTAGGATGTCTCTGTTCTCCAGAAGTGGTGAGTAGGAACAAACGTCCGGTAAACAGGGCCAGGGTTTTGTAGCAGGAACAGCAAAGGTGTTAATGCATAAAGAAGTTGACAGAGATCAACAAAGGGCAGTTACAGAGGTAGGTCTCTGGAGAGAAGGCTGAAGCAGTGAGATGATTTATCCATCTGGAAGACTAGACAGCAATAGAAGAGTTGAGGTGCTGGAGGGCATGATGCAGTTGTGTGCACATGGATGTGAGTGAAGGAAAAGAGAATGAGCAGGATGAAAGGTCAGGATGAAAGGTCATGGCCAAAATTAAAACAGTAGTGTGAAATTCTAAAGTGGAGCACATCCAGATGCCAATATAGTTAGTGAATTTCCAAGGAGCGAATATAAAGTTTGCTAGATTTAAGGAGTTTAAGGGGATGTAATGATTGAGATGAGGGGTAATTCTAAGCATTGAAATGTCTCAGGATAATTATAGGGGTTGAGGTTGAAATAAAAATTGTTAATGGGATTTTGAAGCTTCCAGGGAATGTTGGAGAGGATGGTGGAGCCTTAAAAATGGTAACAACAGATGAAACTATATTCAAAATGGGGAGTGGTGTGGTTGATTCAGCTATTAATACCACCGAGCTCTGGTTTTTCTATCTGTAAAATCGTAATCATATTTTCTTGCAAATGTGCTATGGTTTGAATATCATTTGCTTGACCCCACCAAGTCTTAGGTTAAAATTTGATCCTCATTGTGGGAGGTGGGGGCTGGGGGGTGGTGTTTGGATCATGGGAGCAGATCCCTCAAGAATGTCTTGGTATTATTCTCATGAAAGTGAGTGAGTTCCCACCCTTAGTTCCCACAAGAACTGGTTGTTGAAAAGAGTCTGACACCTTCTCAGCTTTCTCTCGCCTCTTTTCCCACCAGGTGATCTCTGTACATGCTGGCTCTCCTTTACCATCTGCCATGAGTGGAAGCAGCCTGAGTCCCTCTCCAGAAGCAGATTCTGGCACCATGATTCCTATACAGCCTATAGAGCTGTGAGCTAAATGAACCTGCTTTCTTTGTAAATTACTCAGCCTCAGGTCTCCCTTTTTAACAATACAAAAACAGACTAAAACAAAAAGTCATTGATATTAATGTATTAACATAAGCACATTTCTTATATCCTGTGCCTAATATATAATATCTGCTCTAAAAAATAGTTTTCTTTTACTAATACTAAGAAGATACTACATTTAGTAAACAATGGAGATCCTGAGGCTAACATCTGGCTGAGGGTGATGAAAGAAACCTGCTATGATTATGCCTGGTTCTGTGACAACCAGAGGCTCAGCCTGGGACACTGACTGTTCTCTCTGACCTCACAGAAAAGGCACTGCCGGTGAGTGATGTCAGGGTGTATCAATGGGTCTAAGGACATTTCTCTTACTTTAGTAGGCAAATGCTTGAGCATTTGGATGCTGCCATGATTTGAAGACAGCTGATGATACATTGCTTCAGAAATTCCAATTGCCAAGCTGGGTCGCCAGAGTTCATGCCTCACAGGGATCCAGAAAGAGAAAGCATGTGCCTCAGCATCTGGGAAGACATATTTCTTATGTGAGCTAATGTCTCAAAGAAATCGATCAAGTTCAAAACTATGCAGACAGCATTTTATGAAGCCAACTGGATCTTGTCAGGGGAGACAAATCAGCAGGGAGGCAGCCTTGAAAAAGCTGTGCCTGGCACAAGCCAGCACTCTGGTGTAGGGGAAAGTTTGCTAATATGAAGAATGAAACAAGGGTGTGCATAGGAGACAAGAAATTTTAGAATTAAAGATTTTCACTGCAAGTCAGAAATATGGCCCCATAGATTTTATTGGGCTGTTAGCAAGATTTGTTTGCATTTTTCTAATGCAGTAAGCCATCTCATAAAGAATTCCCCCATGGATTCACAATCTTTAAAGTCACATTTTCTATCTCTGTAAGTCACCCCTACTGTATAAACTTGACATGCTTAATTGTCCACAGAGCACATTTATGACAAGTAGGCTAATTAAGTATTTGTTGGCTCTTACCACAAAGTTATTACTGTAAATCATGAGATCAGAAGGGAGCTTACTTTCCCAAATCAGAAAGATTGACTAGCCTGGGTGATTCTGAAGGAGTACTTAGTCCTGAATTTTATGTCTCATAAAACTAATTCCAGAAATGTTTTCAAAATTTTATTTACTGCAAGGTTAGTATCAGTTGTAAGAACTATTTAGCCTAATAGATTTTTGGGTTCAGAGGAAAGGAATAAGAAAAAGTTTAAAAAGTTAGGTTTTATAACTGAGCTATTGCTCTGAATTTTTGTAGGAATATTTTTGATGCTTAGCAGAGTGGAGACAGAAAAATAAATTTTTTAGAACACTTTGTGAGGCCGAGGTGGGTGGATCACCTGAGGTCAGGAGTTCAAGACCAGCCTGGCCAACATGGTGAAACCCCGTCTCTACTAAAAATACAAAAAATTAGCCAGACATGGGGTGGGGCATTTGAAATCCCAGCTACACAGGAGGCTGAGGCAGGAGAATTGCTTGAACCCGGGAGGCAGGGGATGCAGTGAGCCGAAATCATGACATTGCACTCCAGCCTGAGCAACAAGAGTGAAACTCTGTCTTAAAAAAAAAAAAAACGAGATAATTTTACCTCATATCCTAGGAAAATCTAGGAAATTGTCTTACTGTTACAGAAATTTTTGGAAAAGGTTACCTGATGTGTTAAAATAGTCATCCAAATAAGAATGTAAACAAGCCTAATAGAAAACCCAAATTATGGAGATTTATGAGGAGATAGAGAAAATTAGAAAATAAGAATGGATAGGTTGATAATAAATTTACATATAACAATTTGGAGAGGGTGTGAGTTGAAAGATGGGGGGAAAACGTGATTCCAGATAGAAAAGTAAGGAGATAAGAAAACAAGGAGAAAGTAAGGAGATAAGAAAATTAACATTTTATTCTTCCTTACGTGAGTTATATTAATGTTTCCTAATCCAAACGGCAAACAGGTATTCCTCTTGGCTTTCTCGGTGAGACAATGAAGTGAGAAAGGAAGAAAGGAAAGAACATGCCACAGTTGCTGTCACAGAGAAAAGGAATGGAAAATTGGTTGGACTGAGGGGATAAAGATGTACCTCTCGGGGACACAGGCCAGTAGGTGCTAAAATAGATCAGTGATAAAAATGCCTCTACCACCTTCAATTTTTGACTGAGATCTTTCCTTCTCTTTGTTCATGATATGCCACATTTTGCTAAGGGTGCTTTGTTGAAATGAGGAAAATACATCTAAAAGATGGTAAAAAGCTATATAAAGTTGCCAAAATTTCCATGAAATAGCATTGATAATTAGACGGTGATGATGAGTTTTATCAATGATCAAAGAACCAGTGCTTTGGACATTTATAATATCATTTTTACGAAAATGATATTTTAAGGGAGTTTAATTTTTTTTTTTTTTTTTTTTTTTTTAGTATTTATTGATCATTCTTGGGTGTTTCTTGGAGAGGGGGATATGGCAGGGTCATAGGATAATAGTGGAGAGAAGGCCAGCAGATAAACACGTGAACAAAGATCTCTAGTTTTCCTAGGGAGAGGTCCCTGTGGCCTTCCGCAGTGTTTGTGTCCCTGGGTACTTGAGATTAGGGAGTGGTGATGACCCTTAACTAGCATGCTGCCTTCAAGCATCTGTTTAACAAAGCACATCTTGCACTGCCCTTAATCCATTTAACCCTGAGTTGACACAGCACATGTTTCAGAGCACGGGGTTGGGGGTAAGGTTATAGATTAACAGCATCCCAAGGCAGAAGAATTTTTCTTAGTACAGAGCAAAATGGAGTCTCCTATGTCTACTTCTTTCTACACAGACACAGTAACAATCTGATCTCTCTTTCTTTTCCCCACAATTTCCCCTTTTCCTTTCAACAAAACCACCATCCTCATCATGGCCCGTTCTCGATGGTTGCTGTCTCTTCGGAGCTGTTGGGTACACCTGCAGAAAGGCTGTCACTTCACACTTGGAAGGTTGCACAGCGGCCAGGCAGAGGTGCTCCTCACATCCCAGACGGGGCAGCTGGGCAGAGGCGCTCCTCACCTCCCAGACGGGGCGGCCAGGCAGAGGCGCTCCTCACTTCCCAGACGGGGCAGCTGGGCAGAGACGCTCCTCACCTAAGGGAGTTTAAATTTTATAGTGCATGTTACATTGTAATTATTATTGAATAAACTCATAAACTTATGTTTAGAGGGTGAAAGTAATTGGATGAAAATAATACATTTCATTGATAAGACATTATATGTGTGTATATACACGTATACACATATACATTTTCTTTTAGAAAAATTATTTTCAATTTTATTTTTTTGTATGTGAATCATTTCTTGTTTTAAAGTAGTATTTCACCAGTTCCATTTAGCATTGTTTTGGTCAGTATTCATCCTTTTTTTTTTTTCTTTTTAGAGACAGGGTCTCACTCTGGTGCTCAGGCTTGTATGGAACTCCTGGGCTCAAGCGATTCTCCTGCCTCAGCCTCCCAAAATGCTGGGATTACAGGCATGAGCAACCATACCTGGCACTATTCTGTTTCAATCATGCTTTTTAATTCTGATGTTGGCCTTTAGAAAGCATTTAAAAAGAGACCCTACCTTCAGTGCTTACTGCACACATATATGCTGTCACATTTTCCTACTTAGAGCTAGGTCTTTGGGTGACGTGTAATGGGTATTTCACCCCATTTTAGTTTGCATGTCACTGGATATTATTTTTTGTGTGTTTGTATGTTGAATTAATTTTAGTTGCACCTACTTTGCTCTGATAGTCGAATTCTATGAGTAATCCAAAGAAGCAAATGTTTATAATCCCCTTTGTGTCATGCAGGATATGAAAATCTAAATAACCCAGAAAGGATTGCTCCTAAATTTTACCTCAAACTCTGCTTCTGTTTGCCAAGTTGCAACCTACTACCTTACATCTCTCTCTTGTTCCTGCTGTGTGGAACCTTGGCAGTTGTGAAGACGAGTATACATGAGAAAAAATATGAAAAAGAAATAGGGAGATGATTCTCGTTCTGACTGGCCCAGACGATGGCACTTACATAGTAGGTTTTCCTTAGTGTGTCCCTGTGTACACTGAGATGAGGCATTCTGTTTACCTACTTTCTTTGGAAGCTTATTGTTAGCGGCAGGGAATCCATACAGGTCTGCAGCAACCTCACTTCTTGCCTCCTCAGAAGAAAGAATTCAACTGAGGGGCGTAATAAGGCAGAAGAAGAGATAGAGGCAAGTTTTAGAGCAGGAGTGAAAGTTTATTAAAAAGCTTTAGAGCAAGAACAAGAGGAAGGAAAGTACACTTGGGAGAGGGTCAGGTGGGTGACTTGAAGGACAAGTGCCAGGTTTGACCTTTTGACTTGGGGCTTTATATGCTGGCATACTTCTGGGGTCTTGCATCCCTTTTCCCTTGATTCTTTTGTTGGGGTGGGCTGTCCGCATGCCTGGTGGCCACTAGTGCTTGGGCGGGATGCATGTGCAGTGTGTTTACTGGAGTTGTACGCATGCTCACCTGAGGTGTTTTTCTCTTTTCTGACAGAATGCCCCTGGAAGGTCATATATGAGTTAAATTCTGCCATTTCTCTTCTTAGTGCATATGTGTGCACCCACTTACCCAGCTCCTGTGATCTTACAGGAAACTGCTGGTCATCAGTTTCAGGTGTTTCCTATTTATAGGGAAACTACTTTCCCTGGCACTGGTGTGACCAATTATTTTAGAGAGACAGTGTGACAACTGCCTGATCATCACCTGATGGTCGCCTGACTTTCCTGGTGGGGTGTGGGGGCCGTCTCCTGCCCTGTTTGTGTCTCACTAGCTACCCACTGTCACATTATGATGTTATTTTCCAAAGGACCAAACATGGTATGTAGTCTAAAAAGTTCTTCTCAATCAATATCCAAAAACTGTACAGTTAACAATGAGGAAAACAAATGTTTTTGAGCACCTGATAAGTGCCAAGGAATATCCTAGACTTGGGGCACAGACTAGCAAAATAAAACAGAGAAGACACCTAACTGTATAACAGATAAAATCCAGCAAGTATAAATTAATTCCAGATTCTGGGATATTGTTTTGTGTTATTTTTGGTTTAGAATATGGTACATCTTTGCATCATGTTTTAGTATACCTTCATGAACACTTTAATAAGAAATTTGAAAGACACATATTGGTTTGGTTAGCCTCTTGCCATTTTTATCCAGAATTTTTTTACTTAAATCCTGTCACAAGCATTTTATTCCATGTGGTTTTCCTCCCATACCACAAGTGACAAAAAACGGGGAGCGGGGAGGCAGTTTTTCTAGTTCTGTCTCTTGTTTCTTCTCTTAAACACAATTTCATAATGCCTTAGAATTTGAGACTTTGTAATGCCACTTCGGCTAAGCAAACAGCAATAATAGCAAACATGTAGAAGTAACAAAATTTTAACATTTTTTATAGTCTAAAACATTGCTTTATAGTTCCAAGTTCCATTTTGAGACATAAATTGAAACTACTTTGAATTTTTGCTCTTAGATTTTATCTTTCAGTATAGAAATTACCTATCCTTAGCCAAAACCTGAATTCCGCCAATCTGTAAGTCTTATTTGGGCTCCAAACCTTTTATGTAAATAAGCTTTAATTATATTTAAGACCAGTTATGCAGACAACGAAACATTTTATTGCTTGAGCTTTGATTTTTACCTGGATATGTATAAAAATTCATAAACTGTTAAATTAATACATATATCTTTAAAGGTTTTCATTTGTTCTTGAAAAACCTAAAGTGTTATTGTATTTAGAAAGTGCTTATTTTGTAAATTATATGTCAACATATTTTGGCATAAGGTTTGCTAAAAACACTCCTTTTCTCCCCCTTTGTAGAGCCTGTTTCTCTGCCATTAAATTGATCACAATGTGTCTGGAGATGAGCAAGATGGAACTGATGAAGCATCTGGAGTGGAAAATTCTCACAGTAGGACCTGCTGACTTGATTCCCTTATCACCATGGCAACACGCTTTGGTCAGTAGAGCCAGATAATGAGATGGTTTAGTTCAATTAGGGTTTAAAATATTCTTCTACCATTGTGTATGAAATTTACAAAAGCACTTGTCTAAAAATAGGTAACACTCTCCTATGACTTATAAGATATTCTGTGTTCAATAGAGTGCATGCAAAAGGTGAGAAAACACATCTCTAGGCTTTTTCATTCATTTTGTCCTTGAAGAAAGCATAATGTTGAAATGTCTCTAAAAAATTAACATGTGTATATAAGTTCAAAAATATACTATGCTGATTAAATATGATTTGGGATATAGAGACATTTATACATAGTTTTTAGTTATTCTTAGCAGAAAGCCTGGCTGAGAAGAGAAGTGCATAATTTGGGGTTGAAAATATCAGCTTCAAAGTGAGGAAGAACACTTCAATGAATAAAGGTGCTGCCCACATGGAGACAAATATTTAAGAGGAATGGGCTTATGTTGATAGCTCAGTTTCCATTCCCATTTTCCATCTATTCCAAACTCGAGACTGACTTCTGGCCCCCATTCTTTCTCCTCTCTCTTAGCAGAGCACGAACCACCTCCCACTTAATTGAAAAATAGAGGCCATCTGGCGTGCACTCCTACCACTCCACCTACAAACATCTGTATCCATTTACCTCCGTAAGGTTCATTTCCATATGTACCTTTATCTTTTCTCCTGGGTTTTCAATCTCCTTTTCTAACAAAGATGTATATACAAGTTTCTCACATCTTAAAATGACAAAAAGAATGTAATATAAAATGTGTCCTTGCCTCTTTTTTTTTTTTTTTTGCCTCTTACCTTCAGAACTAAGCCTTTTAAGAAGAATCGTTTATTTTCTACTTCTCTTTTACTCTTCGACACACTGAAATCTGTCTACTTCCCCCGTCACTACACTAAAATTGTTTTCAGTGAAATCAGCAACAGCATTTAATGAATCGTTTGTTATGCACCAGATATTAGACTGTGATTTGGTGACACAATATTGATTAAGAAATGTCCTTATTCTAAAAGCATTCACAACTCAGAGTTCTGATATACCTTTCAACGCTGAACATATTCTTCTAAACCTGTGATATTTCCAGTTTTGTGTCTCTTCTAACTCTGTGGATGCTACCTCACAGAAATGCCTTTGCCATTCCTCCCTCCACACCATACTGCCTCTACTGTATCCTTAGTAAATCCTTGTTTTTAATTGCTCCACCTGTCCTCATGTTCCTCTGATGCTGTTTTTGGTTTCATTTGGCCATTAACCTCTGCTTTTCAGGATCCTATTACTTCTTCAGATCTAGTTCTAAGCAAGTCTTCTGTGATGCCTTCTCTAAACCTTGTCAATTAAGTTTCATTAGATTCCTCAGTTCAATAAAGCTTTACCTATATGGTTAATCTTTCACACTACACACTATCTTCTAATTTGTTATGTCTGCAATCCTCTGCTTATTTATTTAATTAAATGTTTTATTTTTAAACAAGTGTAGATTATTCTGTTGTAAGGAATAATGTACAAAATTCCAACATATACTTTACTTGGTTTTCTTCAATAGTAAAGTCTTCCAAAACTGTAGTACAGGTTCAGTATCTCTTATCCAAATGCCTGGGACCAGAAGGCTGGGTGTGGTGGCTCATGCCTGTAATCCCAGCACTTTGGGAGCCTGAGGTGGGTGAATCACTTGAGGTCAGGAGTTCGAGACAAGCTTGGCCAACATGGTAAAACCCCATCTTTACCAAAAATACAAAAATTAGTCACGTGTGGTGGTGCACATCTGTAGTCCCATCTACTCGGGAGGCTGAGGCAGGAAAATCACTTGAACCCGGGAGGCAGAGGTTGCTGTGAGCTGAGATTGCACCACTGCACTCCAGCCTGGGTGACTCCACCTCAAAAAAAAAAAACAAAAAAGCTTGAGGCCAGAGTGTTTTGGATTTTATAAATTTTTGATTTGAGAATATTTACACCTACATAATGAGATATCATGGGGAGGGGACCCAAGTCTAAACACAAAATTAATGTTTCATATACATTTTATACACATAGTTTTAAGGCAATTTTATACAATATTTTAATAATTGTGTGCTTGAAACAAACTTTATGTACACTGAATCATCAGAAAACAAAAGTGTCACTATCTCAGCCACCCATCTTGACAATCTGTGGTTGTTTGGCATCACCATCATTCCTGACTCTGAATTTATATGCTACCAATAAACAATCATTTCCTTACACTTATTTACACATAAATACTTAGTAGTAAGGTTAAAAAGTGACATGCCATTAATACAATGAAAAAATAATGTGTTCAGAATAACTAAGCAGCACAGTAGCATTTCCAGAATACCTGTATCTGCTGTTAAACAACAGTAACAACAAACAGTGGCAGGTTTTCAGTATCCACCTAAAATGCTGTGTCATGATTAAAAGACTGTAAACTGTTCTATTTTTCTTAGATAAGAAGCAGTTAAGGGACCAGAAAGTGAGTTCTCTAGGGGTGATGAGGCGTTCTACTGGATGGCTTTTTTTTTTTTTGAGATGGAGTCTCGCTGTTGCCCAGGCTGGAATGCAGTAGTGTGATCTCGGCTCACTGCAACCTCTGCCTCCTGGGTTCAAGCAATTCTCCTACCTCAGCCTCCTGAGTAGCTAGGACTACAGGCATGTGCCACCATGCCTGGCTAATTTATTTGTATTTTTAGTAGAGACGGGGTTTCACCATGTTGGTCAGGCTGGTCTCGAAATCCTGACCTCAAATGATCTGCCCACCTTAGCTTCCCAAAGTGCTAGGATTACAGGCATAAGCCACTACGGCTGGCCTACTGGGTGGCTTTTAAAAATATTTAGAGTCATCTGCCTAGTTAACAATTTTTTTTAATATTTGTGACCTGCCCACTTTTTTAAGAAAAAAAAGATTTTTTTTTGTCTTAAAAGTCTTTCTTTGATTTTATAAACCAACATGATTTCTTGTTCTGCTCTGAATGCATGCTCTTCTAGTCCTTCAGTAAGCCCATTGTACATTTCACCATGTCACCTACAGGCACTTTTTCTGCTGCGTTAATGTCATCATTCTCATCATAAGTATCACGATGTTCTTGATTTAGAATCATTTTAGCTATTTCAGCATTGGTCCATAAATGAACCACTAGAGTGTCATTGTAAATGTTAAAAACCTCTGAAATAGCTACTCTTTTCCACTTACTGAAGGACTCTGAACATGTATTTTTTACATATGTAAGGAGGTCAGGCATTATTTTTTCTCAATTGACATATGAAATTCTTCAAAGTCACCATCTTGTACATCAACATCACTGATCATAGTCACAGGCCAGAGGTTATAGACAATGTATGTGTCTCTAGTCACTGTGTTTCAAGCGTTGGCAACAGCATATATGGCATTCTTCATGCTAAACTTCTTTTATAAGTCTTCCACGCCTAGGCCTCTGTTCACTGCTGCTAGCATGCTGTTCAAGAAAGTGGGTTTTTTAAATCATTTACTCTTCATTGAGCTAAAGATAGCCTGGTCACATAGCTAGATTAATAAAGCCACATTTGAGGGAAAGTACATGGCATAAACATTATTTTTGATGAGAATTTTCACTGAATGATGAGCAGAACAGTTGTCAAGGAATAACAAAATCTTGTACTCATCATCTAGTTCAGCTTCTCTGCAATGAACACAAGTCACTTGGTACAAAATGTTTGTGAAGCCAATCAGAAGAGACATCCTTTGTTATCCATGCCTTTTTCTTAGCATAGTAATAAACTGATAAGAAATGCACTCCTTGAAAACAGTGAGGATGCACATTTTTGGCTAACACAGAGAGATAACACTTGTGACTGCCTGCTGCATTAGCACAGCCTAGCCGTTATTCTGTTATTGGCATCCTTAATTCTTGTAGGGACTGCCTCATCAGCTAGAGACAGTGGCTTTCTGGGGGCAATAATACCAAAAGAACACTGTTTCATCAATATTATAGACTTACTCTTGTGTCACATTTTCATCAACAATGACCTTGGCAAACTCGCCGATGACCTTGGCAAACTCGCCACTGCTTCGTGATCAACAAATAGTTTATCGCTACAAATTAAAAAAAGAATGCTGTGTCTTTTCTTAAATTTTTGTGATCAGCATGCTTAATGTTCACAGTTCTCTTTAATTTTCAGTTCATCATAATAGATCTTCGGGTTTTTGGTCTGTTTGTTTGTTTTGTTTTGTTTTGAGATACAGTCTCACACTGTCACCCAGGCTGGAGTGTAGTGGCACCATCTTGGCTTACTGCAACCACCGCCTTCCATGTTCAAGCGATTCTCATGCCTCAGCCTCCCAAGTAGCTGGGATTGCAGGTGCAGGCCATCATGCCTGGCTAATTTTTGTATTTTTAGTAGAGACAGGGTTTCACCATGTTGGCCAGGCTGGTCTCAAACTCCTGACCTCAAGTGATCTGCCCGCCTTGGCCTCCCAAAGTGCTGGGATTGCAGGCGTGAGCCACCACCACGCCCAGCCAATCTTAGTTTATGTCATGATCAACCCACCATTAAGAGGCATGTGTTTACTGAAACACTAATGCATCCACACTTTCAATACACAATCAAAATCTTCACTTTTAGCTTTGTGCAGTGTCTGCTCGTCATCACTTTTAGCACAGAAAGTCTAAGTTTATTCTTCTGTTTCTTCAAGTCATATATGACGATCATTCCAACACCATACTTTTCTGTAAGATGTTTCACACTTACATCGCTGCCCAGTTTCTCCAACAGTTTGACTTTCTGTGCTTTAGATAAACAAAAATTCTTTCTTTTTCTTCATTACTGGTAGCTACAGGGGTATCTATGAGCCTTTTTGACACTTTCAACAAAATTTTTACACCACGGAGCAGAGAATAAGCAACGACACATGGTGAGTACTAGATATAGGTCTTGGCCCCATGTGGGGCATTGTGAGGAACATACCATTGGTGTGTCTGGCCTACACACATGTCATTTCATTACCCCCCTGGCCCTGCCTGAGGTGGGGAGTCTGGGTATGTGCAGAAAATATATATCACAGCTGAGGTGGGGGTGGAAGGGCATTTTTTCTTGGGGACACTGAATAAATGGTATGTTGTGCACCCGCATTTTGACTGTGACCTGTCACATGAAGTCAGGTACAGAAATTCCTACTTGTGATATCTTGTCAGCAATGAACACGTTTTGAATATTTTTGGAGCATTTGTTGCTCCAAATTTGTTGGAGCATTTTGGATTTCAAATTTTTAGATTAGGGATGTACAAACTGTACAATATCATAATCAAGATACTGAAATAGGTAGTCAAGATGCAAAATATTTCTGTTACTGCAAGGATACCTTATGCTTCCCTTGTATAGCCTCAGCCACTTACTGCTCACCTTTCACTCCTCGTTAACTCTGGCAACAACTCATCTGTTCTCCATGACAGTATAATATTGTCATTTTGATAATGCTATATAAGTGGACTCATACTGTATATAATTTTCTTATTTGTTTTTGTGGTTTTGATTTTTTTAGCTGAGCATAATTCCCTGGAAATTTATCCAGTTTACTCATTCACTCTCTGAAGGATATCTGGGTTCTTTCCATTTGGGGGCTGTTATGAATACAATTGCTATAAACATTAACATACAGTTTTTGCATAAACAAAGTTTTCATTTCTCTGGAATAAATGTCAAGGAGTGCAATTGCTGGGTCATATGGTAGTTGCATGTTTAGTTTAAGAGACTGCTGAACTGTTTTTCACAATGGCTGTACTGTTTTTCATTCTCACCAGCAATGTATGAGTGACCCAATTTTTCACATCCTCACCAACATTTGGTGTTGTTATTTATTATGTTAGCCATTCTGATAACTATTGAGTGATAACTCATTGTGGTTTTAATGAGCATTTTCTTAATTGCTAATAATGGTGAATATTTTTGCATGTGCTTATTTGTCATTTCTGTATCTTTCATGGAATGTCTGTAATGAATTTTTTTCCATTTTCTAACTGGCTTTCTTTTTTTACTATTTTAATTTGAGAGTTCTTTACATGCTCCAGATATTTTTTTGTATACGCTATTTGATAACATTCTCTTTCAGTCTTTAGTTTGTCTTTTTATCCTCTAATATGGATCTTTTTCAGGTAAACTATTTCTAAGTTTCTGAGGCCCAAATTATCAATTTTTTTTTTTGTGGGTGACGCTTTCAGTATCAAAACTGAATTTTTGCCTCCTCCTAGATCCCAAGGATTTTCTCCTATGCTGTGTTTTTCCTAAAATGTAGATAGTTTTACATTTTCCATTAAAGTTTGTAATACATTTTGAATTAATTTGGTGTAATATGTAAGATTTTCTTCAAGATTGATTTTTCCCCCTATGAATACCAAATTGGTCAAGCACCAACTTATTGAAAAGGTTTATTTCTTCCATTGAATTGATTTAACACCTTTGTTAGAAAACCAGTTGGACATATTGATTTATTGAAATGAACTAGTCCCTTGTTTGATTTTCTCTAGTTTTTCTATTATTGATTTATGTTATTTCTATTTCTATGTTTACTATTTTCTTCTTTTTGATTTGGTTTTATTCTATTCTGATGCTAACTTCTTGACATGAGAGCTTAGATTATTAATTTGAGACTCTTCCTCTTTTTGAAAGAATGCATTTAGTACTCTAAGTTTCCCTCTCAGCACTGTTTTAGCTGTGTCCTACAATTTTTGATATTTTGCATTTTAATTGTCATTAAGTTCTATGTATTTTTTTGTTTTCTCTTAATATTTCTGCATTAACCCATGGATTATTAAAAAGTATGCTGTTTAGTTTCCAAGTGTTTGCACAGTTTTTGTTTGTTGTTGTTGCTGATTTCTAGTTTGACTCTGTTGTCATTAGAGATTATACTCTGCATAATTTCAATTATTTTAAATTTGTTGAAGTTTATTTTATGACCTTTATGATGTTTTAGGATGTGGTCTATCTTAGTACATGTTATATGGGAAATTGAGAATAATGCGTATCCTGCTATTGTTGGTGTAGTGATCTACAAATGATATTTAGATGGTGGTGGTTGGTGGAATTGAGCTATTTTATATTGTTAGCAATTTCCTACTAGTTGTTCTATTGATTTTTGAGAAAGGTAATAATAGTCTTCATTTCTAATTATAATTTTTTAAATTTTTTCTTTTAATTTTATCCATTTTTACTTATAAAATTTTCATTTGTTTCCTCTTTATAGCTTCTATTTCTTTGCTGAGACTCTCTCTTTTAAAATTATTTCAATTATGTATTTGTAATTGCTCATTGAAGCAGTTTTGTATTATCTCAGTGTTAGAATTTACTGATTGTGTTTTCTTTTAAGTCCAGTTTGAGAGCTTGCTGGTTATTGGTATGATATGATGAGTGTTGTTGTTGTTGTTTTTGTTTTTTGAAATCTGAAAATTGGGATCTCATGTTAGAAGACTCTGGGTTTTATTTAAACCTGTTTTAGGCAACTACCTGTAAAACTGCTCCATTGAAAAATGAAGGGTCGCACCTTATTACTACCAGGTGGGAAGAGAAGTCTAGGTTCCCCATTTTCTTCTGTTGCCACTCACAAAGGGGAACCTTATTGAAGCTGTGTGGGAGTGGGAATGCCAGATTCCCTCTAGTTCTCCATTGATACATCCCTGGCTACAGGTGCCTTGCTAATGGTCCTATCTTGGCCTCCTTCTGAGATGAGGTATGGTGGAGGTGTAACGGATGGCTTTGTCTTATAGCGGGATCATAGCAAAAGCCCTGGCTCTCCATTTGGCCTTCTTTAACCCCATTCCAGAAGTTAAGGGGCACCTCGTGAGTGCTGGGGGTGGTGGTTGAAGTCTAGGTTTCCCATGTGGTCACCAATGACAGGTCAGTGGGGACTGGTGGCTCATTACCACTCATTAGGCATGAAAGTACTCTCTCACTATCTTTGTCTGATACCACTGTGGTGAGGGAGGAGGGATAGTGGCCCCTCTTTACAATTTCCAGAGGGCAGAAGTCTAGGCTCCCAACTTGGACTTTGCTGGTGAAGGTGGAGTGGGGCCACAATTTTTTCCACAGTATTTGGTTGGAGTAGAGTGGTTATTGCCTCAAAGTTTTCTTTCTTGTTACACTGCACTTGCAAGCTGCAGAAGGCAGGCTTTTTCTTTTTTGTTTTCTTTTTCTTTTTTTTTTTTTTCATTTTCTTTTACTTATTAGATTGAACCTGTTGGCATATTCTGGTTGCTGGCTTCTTTAGCTCCAAGTCTGGAATATGTAAGGCAAGAAGGAAACCTCAGGTCAAGCATGATGGCTCACACTTATAATCCCAGAACCCTGGTAGGTTGAGACAGAAGGATTCCTTGAACTCAGGGGTTTGAGACCAGCCTGTGCAACATAGTGACACCCCGGCACTTCCCCAAAATAAAAATATTAGCCAGGCATGGTGGCACATGCCTGTAATCCTAGCTACTCAGGGAGCTGAGGCAGGACAATTGCCTGAGCCCAGGAGGTTGAGGCTGCAGTGAACTGTGATCTTACCACTGTACTCCAGCCTGGGTGACAGAGCCAGACTCTGTCTGTAAAACAACAACAACAACAAAAACAAACAAACAAACAAACAAACAAACAAAAAAAACAAGAAGAAGAAGAAAGAAAGAAAGAAAGAAAGAAAGGAAAAATGCCCAGGTAGCTCACCATCATATTGTGAGCTAAAGGGTTCCAAGGCTCTACCCTAGCCAGTCTGCCTCCTCTCTTCATATTTCTGAGGCCTCTTTATGTTTGTTTTGTTTGTTATTTAGTGGAAGGAACAGGGAAAGGTATGTCTACTCTATCTTCCCAGAAGGGCAATGTCCTTGTTTATTTTTAATTAATTGCTTAATGCAAAGGACTCTGATTTCATCCTTTACCACTCTTCTTCTTTTTAGAGAGCCCCATTGTCTCAAAGATTACAGGAGTTTTCAATGAATACAATAAACTGGTTTTGGTAACAGGTGTCAGCCCTGGTTGTTGCTCAGAGAGCCTGCAGATTTCAAGCAAAGACACATGACATTGGGGTTCTGTCTGTATGAGCTCAGAAAGCTAAACACAGCTCACATCAGTGTGCTCCCAAAGCTAAGCTGGGCTGAGTTGGATTTCATTTGAGTCCAGAAAACTAAACACAGCTCACATCAGTGTGCTCCTGAAGCTAAGTTGGGCTGAGTCTAATTTCATTTTGGAAAAGAGACACAACCTACTTGATCTTGCATTTGATATTTTCAGTGGGAGCCCATCACAGACTACAAAGAATGGAGGTGTACCAGTCGGTGTGTTCTGAGGGAAGGCCCATGTCTCTTCCCTTTCTGAATGTCCACATACCCTGCACAACTCCTGCCACGGTGGCTGCTCAATAGCTGGTATGTGAAAAATCTTGTATCATGTTAGATGAAATTTTCCTCTTAGACAAGTTTTTAGGTATCATTTTGTAACCAAAAACTGTGCTTTGTAGTAATTAATATATTCATATTTGAATGTATGGGCATCCTTATTTTTGTTTCATTATAGCCTTTCTTTTTAGCTGATGTTTTCTTTAACTCTGGAATCCTTCACGAATATGTTAATGAAAATTTTAGGTAGATTTTATTCACCTTTATATTTTATGAGTTGACACTTCTTTAATAAAAAAGAATATGAGAATAGTATTAAAAAAAATGACAACCTGCCACTCAAATATAAATATGAGGATCACTAATTGTTGATTTAAAGCCATATGCATGAAGCATAAAAATAGTTTAATGACACCCACACTGTGCCACCAGCAAACACAGAATTAATCAACTGTTATCATCACACAAATCTGCTGATGAGAGTGATGCCTTAGCTTGAGTCTTCCTATGCAAACAGGAGTTTCTTGTCTGTCTAGGCCTCAGAGAAAGGCCATGATTTCCGAACACTAAGACAACGATCTTTAAAATGCAAAAGGGCTCTTTCTCTTAAAGGTGGACAACTACCTTGAATAAAGTAGAAATATCATAATTATGATGTTCATTAGATTATTTTTCTGAATAATATCAAATGTAATGTATACTAGTAACATGCACTACAGTTGAAAAAAATTAACACAACTTTTCAAGGAAAAAAATACCCAGTTTTGTACCAACATGAAAAAAATATACTGATAGCATTTTAATTATTAGATCTTTTAATATCTTTTTTATGCAGCTAGTAATAACAGTATAAACATAACTTTAAATACTATGTTTCTTAATGAATAATATTCCATGGAATTTGTTATCTTGCTACATGATATTTATATACATTTTAATAGTGGAAAATTTCAAGAATAACAGACAGATTAGTAATAATATAAACATAAACATGTCAAAGATACAGAATTAACACTCAATATTTTTATAACTTTCACTTCAGATGAATATTAAATAACTATTGAAGGTAAAATATAAATTACTTATTATTAAACTCTAGTTTTTAGATATATAATACATATACACGAGTATATAAAACATAAGATTAAAACTTAACAAATTATTGTAAACTGGACATTTTCTAAAGAGTCTTTTGAAGACCAGATGTTTTAACTTTGATGAAGTGCAATTTATCAGTATTTTTCTTTCGTGTGTCATGCCTTTTGTGCCCTAAGAAATCTTTTGTCTACTCCAAAGTCACAGAAATTTCCCTCGTGTATTTTCTTTAGGAAGTTTTAGAATTTTCATATTTAGAAGCTTTTACATTTTGACCTTTGATCCATTTAGAATTAAATGTTGTATATACCATGAGATAAAGCTCATTTGTTTTCATATGCATACTCAGATGTTGTAATACTACTTCTAGAAAAGTATTAGCTCTTTCTCATTGGATTACCATGACAACTTTTTCAAAAATTAAGCAACTATATATAGTCTATATAACTAGACTGTCTTCTGTAACATCGTTCTATTGTCATTTTGCCAATATGACATTTTCTCAACTACTTACTGTAAGTTACACAAATATTGATACATTATGCTTTGATTTTTGTTCAGTTCAAATGTGAGATTTTTTATTTGAACCATGATTATATAGCGGTGTTTTGCTTAATTTCCAATTATTTGTGGCTTTTTCAGACATCTCTGTAATTTACTTCTAATTTAATTCTGTAGTGGTCAGAAAATATCCCTTGTAAAATAAATTTTTTTGAAATTAATTAAGACTAATTTTAGATCTTAGCTTGTGGCCTACCTTGGTGAATGTTCCACATACAACTGAAAAGAATGTGTATTTTGTTTTTTTGGGCATGTCTTAATAATATCAATGTGCTAGAGTCTTCTATTTCTCTATTATTTTTCGGACTACTTCTATCAATTACTGAGAAAGGAGGGTTGAAATCTTCAGCTATAATTGTGGATTTGTCTATTTCTCCTTTTAGTTCAATCAGGTTTTTGCCTCATGTATTTTAAAGCTCTTTTTTTCTTTGAGTTTTAAAATGGGCATTTAGCAATTTTATGTCTTGACCCTTTGTCTGATGAAATAACTCTTTTTATCCCTGAAATGATGATTCTTGCTCTGTAATCTACTTTGATAGTAATATAGTAACTTCAAGTTTCTTATGATTAGTATGTGCATGTTACTCATTCTTCCATCCATTTACTTTTATCCTATCTGAGCCTTGATATTTAAAGCCTATTTCTTATACATAGAATATGGTTAGTTTTTATGTTTGAGTCACATTGCCAATATCTGTCATTTAATTAGTGTTTTTTTACCATTTACATTAAATATAAAATTAATACCTTTGAGTTTAAATCTATTATAAAATTTCTTTATTGTATCTTTTTAAATGTCATTTTGCTTTCCTTCATGGTTTATTTTAATAAATTATTTTTAGGGTCTTATTTTATCCTCTTTGTTGACTTATTAGGTATCTCAATATATGCGTAGTGTTTAAAATATGTATGTGCACTTAGCACAGTTTATCTTCAAATAACCTTCTAAAACTACAATGTAAGAACCTTACAATACCATATTCATTTTGCTACCCTGATATTCTTTGTGCTACTGTTATCATTTATTTTTCTTTCATGTTTTAATTCATCTAACACATTATAATGATTTTTGCTTTACATTATAAGTTACTTTTTAAAGGAATTTTAACATAGCTGATGTATTTACTCATTTATTTACCGTTTCTGGGTCTTTTTCTTTTTTGGGGTTATATCCAAGTTTCTGACTGGAATTATTTCTCTTTTTCCTCATGAATGCCCTTTAACATTTCTTGTAATACAGACATGCTTGTGATGAATTCTTTCAGCTTTTTGTTGTCCAAAAAGGTCTTTGCTTTACCTTTCTCGAAGGACATTTTCATAGGGTTTGTATATATTTTTGACTTTTCAGCACTTTAAACATGGCATTCCGTTAAACAGTGACTTTTTTGTGATGCAAAAATCTGTTCAAGTTTTTTTTAATTTGTCTGTACATATTATGTCTTTTTTTTCTTTTGAGATTTTCTCTCTGTAGTTAGTGTTCAGCCACTTGTGTATGCAGTGTTATGAAGTGGGCTCTGAGTGTATGTGTGCTTGTAGCTAGTTGGATTGGAGTTTGTTGAGCTTCTGAGATCTGTTACATTACAGTTTCTATCAAATTTGGAAAGTTTTTTTGCCATTTTTTTCAAAAGGAAATATATTGTTGTAACGTTTTACATTGTATGTGTAGCTTTTCTGTATTCCTATCCCTCTTGTACTGGGATTCCAGTCACAAACATAAGACTGCCTGTTATGCTCCTATAGATTCCCAAGGCCCTACTTAATTATTTTGCAGTCCTCTTTGTCGTGTCTTCATTTTGAAAAATTTACTTTCCTATGTTTTTAAGTACACTTTTATTTTCATCTGGTGTCTCTAATCTGCTTTATTTTCATCCATTAAAAATGTTATTGATGAGAATAATTGGACTTTTTAATATCTAGAAATTCTGTTTTTTTATATCTTCCATTTTTAATTATATTCATGTTTTTCTTTTAATCTTTGTGCATATTGCACATATTTGTGAAAACATGTTTAATGTTATTGTCTGCAAATTTTATTTTCTCTCTTTTATTTCTGGATCCTATTTCTATTATTTTCCACATTGTAAGCCAAAATTTATTGCTTCTTGTATAATTAGTAATGTTTGATTAGATACCAAACATTGTAAATTTTACATTGACTAGTGCTTTGCTTTTTGGCATTTCTTTAAAGAATGTTAAACATTGTTCTAGAAGACCATGTAGTTATTTGCAAACTATTCGATCCCCTTGAGATTTGTTCAAAAGCCATTTTTTAGGAGAGATATTTGGTTAGGTACAGGATCTAGGTTGAAATTATTTTATTTTGGAAATCTGAGGATGTCATCTATTTGTCTCCTGTTGAGAAGTCAACGGTCTATTTCATTTTGGTTTGTTTAAAAGTAAGACTATTCTCACTGGATTGTTTGAAACAATTTTACAATGATGTGCATGGGGTAAATGTTTCAATGTATTCTATTATAGGTTAAGAGTACTTACTGAATTTGTGTTTGAATAACTTTTATCAGACTTGGAAAATTATCTTTCATTATCTCTGCCAATATTGCTTCTTTTCCATTCTTTTTCTACTCTCCTTTGTGACTCCAATTCATATGTTATTTTCCTTTTTTATTATATCATATAAATCTCAGAGGTTTTCCCCCATTGATTTTACTCTATACTATAGTGTTAAGACCTATCTCCTAGGGTTTTTATTGATTATATAGAAGTGGAATTTTTGGATCACAGGGTAATGAGTATTTAACTTTCTTTGAAACTGCCAAATAGTTTTCTAAATTGATTGTGCATTTTGTGCTCCCACTAGCCATGTACAAAAGTGCCCTAGGCTCTGTATTCTTGCCAATATCTGATACTGTCAGTCTGCTTATTATAGCTTTTCTGGTGAATATAGTACTATTCTACTGTGCTTCTAATTTGTGTTACCCTAAAAGCTAATAACTTTCATATTATGAAGAGTCATTCCTATGTTTGTTTGTAAAGTATTTGATTTATTGGGTTGATGTTCTTTTTAACATTAAATTGAAATTGTTTCTTCATATATTATGGAAATAAACCCCATGTAGGATTATGTATTGCTACTATTTTCTCCATGTGTGTGACATGACTCTTTACTTTCTTAAAACTAGTTTTGGTCAGAAGAAAATTTTAATTTTGATAAAATCTAATTTATCTTTGTTTAAAAAATAGAGTGTCTTCTTGGTTTTAAGAAATTTTGGACAAAAGTCATAGATATTGCAGTATGTTTTTTCTTCAAGATGCTTAAAATTTAGCTTTCACATTTAGGATTCTGGATAATATCATATTAATTTTATGTATAACGTGAATTACTTTTGGTGAGTTAGAGTTTAAAGTTCATACTCTTACATATAGATATCAGCTGCTCTAACAACATTCTCTTTTAAATTAAAAGAGAACACATTGGTCAAAAATCAAGTGAACATGTATGTTTGGGTCTATTTCTGCACTCTCTTTTCTGATTGATATACTTGTTGATCTTTATCAATATCATATACTGTTAGTTATTATAGCTTTATAGTAATTTTTGAAATTGAGCAGTAATAAACCTTCTTCTTGTTCTTTAGTTAAAGATTTTATTGGCTCTTATAGGTCCTTTGTACTTCTAAACAAATTTTAGACTGAGCTTTTCAATTTCTACAACATATCCCAATTGAGTTCTTGTTCACATTGCATTGATTCTTTAGATGAAATAGAGAAATATAGACATTTAAACATTTTTGAGTCTTCTAATCTATAAAACCTTGATTTTTTAAGGTGTTTTAAAAACTTGTTCAGCAATATTGGTTAGGTCTTCCTTAATTTCTCAAAGCTCCTTTACATAGTTTTTAGTATAGATAATTTGCACAGTTTTTTGCTAAATTTATTTCTGGGTATCTGATGTATTTTAGGCTGTTGTATGTAGTACTTTTAAACTTTATTTTGTGATTATTTATTGCTATACATCGGTATAAAATTTATTTTTTATATTGACATTGTATCTTGCCATCTTGCCAAATTCTTATTAATATTAGTCCCAGTAATTTTTTGTGTATTCTTTGAAACTTGTAAATTCACAACCCAATTCTCTTATTACATCTGTAGATCTATAGTGATTGTCTTAGTCTGTTGCTATAAAGAAATAACTGAGATTGAGTAATTTATTTTTTTGAATACAGTTTATTTGGCTTATAGTTCTGCAGGCTGTACAAGAAACATGGCACCAGTATCTGCTCAGCTTCTGGTAAGGGCTTCCCACTGCTTCCATTCATGGTAAAAGGAGAAGGGGAGCTGGTGTGCAGAGATCACATAGTGAGAGTGGAAGCAAGGTTGTGGGGAGGTGGCAGCATCTTTTCAACAACCAGTTCTGTCAGGAATTAAAAGAACAAGAACTCATCCATTACTGTAAGGAGGTTACCAAGCCATTCATGAAGGAACCACCCCCATGACCCAAACACTTCCCATTAGGTGCCACCTCCTACATAGGAAATCACATTTCAACATGAGGTTTGCAGGGTCAAATATCCAAAAGAGATAGTCACATTTTCCTTCTTCGCATTTATAATTGGTGTTTTCTCTCTTTTTTTCTTGATTATCTTTTTCAGAGTTTTTCAATTTTAAAAATATCTTGAAAAAAAAGTCCTTATTGTTTCTTGTCTTTATTTCTATTGGATTCTGCTTTTTTATTCTTATTACTTCCATTGTTAACCTTTCTTCCTGTATTTTTTATCTTCCATTAAAAATTATTATTTTTTTGCTCAATCAAAAACTTAATTAGGCAGCATAGGTTTAATGATGTGGCAAATAATCCCAAATTCTGTTCTCGACAGAACGTAATTTTATTTTTTGTTTATGTAAATATGAACAGCCTCCTGATTTCATGACTATCCTGGGAGACTCCAAACATCAGGATATATAAATCAAGACTCCTACAGTTGACTCAGGGATCCAGACTCCTTTCAAATTGTCAGAATTGCATCTTCAAAATATAGCCTAAAAGTCACCAAAGAAGAGACATAGAGATTTCAGAAATCATTCATATACTTAGCAATCTTGATATGCATAATTTCTGTCCACATTTCATATTGTTTATGTTTTGTCATTTCATCCTGTCTAAACGGAGGAGGGCTGGGGAATACAGCCTCTGATTTGTAGAGTGCATCCTGGCCACAGCTCTTTCTATAGAGGGGAGCATTTTTTGTTGTTGTTGGTTGGCTTACCTTCTCTGCTGTATTATCATTTAAAATCCCCTTTAGTATAGATCTCCTAGTGAAAAATAAATCTATATTTCTGTCTTTACCTTTGATGGATAGTTTTTCTGTTGATAGATGTATGGCCTGGAATTTTTTTTCTCAATTTATTAACTAATTTTTCTACTTTTTTGGTCACTATATTAGTCTCCTAGGATTGCCATTACAAAATGTCATAGACTGGGTAGCTTGAACAACAGAATTAATTTTCTCACAGTTCTGGATGATAGATATACAAGATAAAGGTTGTCCAACCCATCAGGGCTGGTTTCTAGTAAAGCCTTTCTTCCTGGCTTCTCAATGGCCACCTTTTTGCTGTTTCCTTTTATTGTCTTTCTTCTGTGTGGACGTGGTACCACCAGGGTGGAGTGAATCTCTGGTGTCACTTTCTCTTCCTATAAGAACACCAGTCCTATTGCATTAGGGCCTCATTTTTATAACATCATTTAACCTTAATTGTCTTTTTAAAGGATCTGTTTCAAAATATAGTGATATTGGAGGTCAAGATTTCAACATATAAATTTGGGGGCAGTGAACACAATTCAGTCCATAACATTACCTTTTTTGCATTTCAAAGTCAATTGCCACTTTTTACACATATATTGAAGGGAAAATTATTAATTTTTCCCTCTTCCAACATTGCAAATTTTCTCTTTTCTCTTTGGTTTTATGGAGTTTTTAATGAAGTTCTACTACATCGTGTCTAGGTGTGGATTTCTTCTTATTTCGCTGAATTTGAATTTGTTGGACTTTTGTTTGATTTGGGGATTGCTGTCATTTGTGAGCTGTGTTAAGTTTTCAGCTGTAATTATTTTCAATATCTATTCTCTCCTATTCTTCTGGAACTTCAGTGAAATATTTACCAGTCATTTACAGTCCCCGCCACCTGCCTCGAGTGTCGCTTGTATTTCTGACCTTTATCCTTCATACTCTATTTTTTCATTCCTCCTATATTAATTTCAGAGAGTTACTTTTGAACTTTAGGCCTATAAAATATCTTTTAAAATTCTAAGCCTTAATTAGATGAACCTGGAGATAATTCATTGTTTAACCCTGGAACTGACAAACTTTGTCTTAAGGGTCCAGGTAGTATTTATTTTAGATTTTGCAAGCCAAGGGGTAAAATAAAAGATACCGTTTAGATACTCATATAACCATTTAAGATGTAAACATTTTAAAATGTAAAAACCATTCTTAGCTCACATGCCATACAAAAAAACAGGTATTTGGCTTCATTTAGCTCAGAAATCATCGTTTTTTAACTTCTGATTTAACCCACCCATCTCTTGAGCTCTTAATTGTACTGTGCACTGTTTAGTTCTAAAAGTTATATTTAGTTCTTTTTCAAAGACATATTTCTGTCTCCTTTTCTCTCCTAAAATTTTCAGGGTTGGCTCTAATTTCCTTGAAGAAGATAAACCTAGTATTGTTAAAGTCTGTCTCATAATTTTGATAAATTGACTCAGTATGAATTGTCTGTTGTTTCGATCTTTTTCTTGCTCATAATGGCTTGTCTCCATATGTGCCCAGAGAAACTTTAATTTTTAGTGAACGTTACTATGAAATATTTATTTGCAGAAGTAATTTGAGCTCTCTGATAATTACATCTTCCTCCAGTGAAGGTATTTATTTCTGCCAGGTGTCCAGGTATGCTAGCAATGAGACTGCCGAATTGTAGGAATTTATAGTTGATATGATATAGATAACCTAATGTGCAACTCTATTTCACGAGGAGTTCATCTAGTTCATCCTCGCTGCTAGTGTGCAGCTCATTGCAGTAGGTGTTCACCAGGGTTCCTCGCTTGGCAGGCTCTGGGTTCTGACTTTTGTGTCTTTGACCTCCCATGTTGCCAGAAGTGCAGCTCAGCTTTAGAAGCAAAAGTGGCTCTGAGTAGTGGCCTCAGTTCTCTCAGTTTTCATCATCTGTTTTATTTTTTATCATCCCAGAGCTTGGTCTCATTGTTCCTCATTATCTTGGTATCTGTGTGATGCTTGGCAAAGTTTCTTTATATATTTCCTACTGAGTTTTTTTTTTTTTTTTTTTTTTTTTGAGACGGAGTCTTGCTCTGTCGCCCAGGCTGGAGTGCGGTGGCGCGATCTCGGCTCACTGCAAGCTCCGCCTCCCGGGTTCACGCCATTCTCCTGCCTCAGCCTCCCCAGTAGCTGGGACTACAGGTGCCTGCCACCACGCCCGGCTTCTTTTTTGTATTTTTAGTAGAGATGCGGTTTCACTGTGTTAGCTAGTCTCGATCTCCTGACCTTGAGATCCACCTGCCTCGGCCTCCCAAAGTGCTGGGATTACAGGCGTGAGCCACCGCGCCCAGCCCTGAGTTTTTTTGATGATCATCTTTAGACTCATGTTTGGTCAGAATTAATAGAATTTCCCATTATCAATTGTAAAATATCAGTACTAATGTTCTTTTTAAACTTTCCGAATCATTCTCTTCCCATCTCACAATTTCTGGGTGTATTTTTCCCATCCATACTTTTATACTTTGTGAACATCCATTTAGGACATACACATAGAGTTTAATTGTGCTTTTTTGATTTACACAAATGTTATAAGGCTCTACTTATGCTTTTGTAATATTATTTTCTTACATGCCTTATGTTTTTGAAAGACAAATTGGTTTATACATTTTTAGTTTATTTGAAAATGTATACAATATTCCATTAGTGACTAAATCACAAATTTTTCATTCCTTCTGTTCATGGACATAGTTCTTTTTCCTTTTTCCTTTTTCTTTTAAATTATAAACAATGATGTAATAGAGTTCTTATATGTCTTTGCTACATGCATGTGATTTTCTCTAGAAGTACACAGTAACTCATTTTGTTTTTCTCCTCAGTGTAAAACTAGGCCACATTATATAGTCTTCCCTTATGTGGAATCAGGTCATTTACTTGTGACCAATAGCATCTCCATGGAAGTGATAGATTCTCTTCCTAGCAGGACCCTAAAACATCTAAAGAAATCATTGATGTTCTCGTTTTCATTTCTCATCTACTAGCCAAATGTAGCTGGTTACATGGATGACTCAGGGATGGTAGGACTACTGGATGAAAGGATCCTTGTCCCGATGAATGACACATGGAGCAAAGCTCCCAACTCCCCTCTACTTCTCATGGCACTGCGAAATGAATACAACATACATTATTATTTCAGGCCACTGAGAGTTGGTTGCCATTGTTATTACAGCAGATAAAATACTATTGGAACTGACGTTTCTTACAGAATATACAGATAACTTTCCAAATGATTTAATTTTATTTATTCCCACTAAGACCATTTTAATTTCTGACATTTTCACCAAAATTTGATACTTCCAAATCTTTGGTAAAACTTTGTTTTTCTATTTCATTTGCTACTAAGGAGATTGAGGTTTTTTGTTTGTTTGATTTGCCAATAAAGTTTCTTTGTATGTGTTTCTGTGTGTGTATGTAATTTGCCTATAATTTTATCTACTCATTTTCTCTTGGATTTGTCTTCTTAAAATTTTTAAAAAAAAATTTTCATACATTCTGAATACCTACCTCTTGCTTGCTGCATTTATTCTAAGTTTTTCTATTAATCCAGTGACTCACCTTTTGATTTTTTGTGGGAAGAATAAATAATATATAATATTATGTTGAAAAAACAAATTATATAAAATATTTAAAGAGGTTTATTCTGAGCCAGTATGAGTGACCATGGTCCATAAAACAGTCTCAAAAAATCCTGAGAAGGAGTGTCAGAGGCGGTCAGGTTACAAGCTGGTTTTATACATTTTAGGGAGATAAGAACTGTAGTTAAAAATCATAAATCAATACATGAAAGGTATACTTTGGCTCAGCCTAAAGAGGTGGGATGCCTTGAAGTGGTGGTTGCCGGGGCAGTGGCTGGCTTACAGGTTACAGGAGGATTCAAAGAATTTCTTTTTGGCAATTGGTTGAAAGAATTAAGCTTTGCTGAAAGACTTGAATTCAGTAGAAAAAAAATGCTTGAGTTAAGCATTAAGTGGGGGTTGAGAGACCAAGGTTCTTGTTATTTTGGATGAAGCCTCCAGGTAACAGCTTTCAGAGAGAATAGACATTTAAAGTCTCATATGTCTTTTTTGGGACCTTAAAAAACATCAAACTCAGTTAATCTAGCCTAGACCCAGGAAAGTCCTGACTGCATGCATTAATGGAGATTCTTTACAGATACAAATTTCCCCCATAAAAGATGGCTTTGCAGGACCATTTAAAAATGTGTCAAAGAAGTATATTTTGGGGTAAAATATTTTGATTTCCTTGAGGGCATGCTATCTGTCATGTGATGCTATATCAGAATCAGGTTGGAATTTTGTATCTTCTTGCCACAGAGTCTGTTTTGTCAGTCTTATGATCCTTATTTTAATGTTAACTTTGGTCAGTTGTGCCTAAACTCCAAAAGGGAGCAGGTATAATAAGGTATATCTAGCCTCCCTCCCACTGTGGCTGGGAATTCAGTTTTTCTGGTTTCTCTGAGGTCTCCTTGGACCCAGAAGGTGTCCCTTCAGTCTGTTAGAGGGGCTTAAGATTTTATTTTTGGTTTACAAGTGTAAAAATTTCTTGATGACATAATATTCTATAACATGTATGAGTCATTATTTACCAAATTATTCTTGGAAAATACATATATGTGTGTGTGTGTGTGTGTACGCACAAACAAAAAACAAAAAATAATTATATTTATTATATCTAAACAAAAACTAATTATATCTATCTGTCTCTAAATATAATTATTTTTTGTTTTACACAATTATGTGGTAGCTATCTCCATGTGTTATTTTTCTTTTGTCTATTGTGCTATTGTACTAGAGAAAATTACAAGGAGCAAAATTAATATTTCTAAAGTTATTAACATTTTCATGTCTCTTTCAATCCTTGCTGTTTTTGAAATGAGAATTCTTCTTCCCCAAGGTGGATCATAGAAATTAGAACCAATTTCCCTCCAAAATCAGCCATAAGACATGAAAATATTATTGAAACTTTCCCTGACTTTCTATGTAAGAGTTGGCCTTACAGAAAGCCTCTGCCTATCTTGCTCGATGGTAGGTCATAAGACTCCCATCCTGGAAAGGGTCCTGCATCACACCCAGAAGGAGAAAATGCTGTACAGAGAGAGGCCAAGAAAAATCTAAACAGATTGGCCTTGCTGAGTTTCCCTTCGGTCTTTTACCAGTTTCATTTTTAGATAACTGTTCACTCTTCATTGAATCTAAGCATAAAAATCGTTTTCCCTTGAGCCTTGGGTCTTCATTCCCATTAAATAAGATAAGGAATAAGGAATCTTAGGCTGTCATGAGTAAATATAGGTGTGCTTTGTAGTCTGATAAAACACCTTCATATTAGAAGACTTTGCCTTTAGCACAATTGGAAATGTGATTATCTCTAATTTTCCGAAACCAATGGCAGTTGCTATAGTTGACAATACAGCTCATCATGGCTAACCTGACTAATTCAAGCATTTCTTGTTCCTGACCAAAACACCCTTTTCTATTCTTTCCTCTTCTCACTACTCACTATTCCTGAGCAGTTCCTTCTACCCCAATGGCTTCAACTTGTATGTCAGTGACTATACAATCTATACTACTTTTTCATCCCTTATTCTTTTTTTACCTAATTATCACAGCTGAATTCACTTTTCCCGAACCAAACTTATTTTAGTTTTCCAGACAACTCATCCTGTCTTTTCCATCTTTGCAAAAGTTACCATCATTTAATTCATTTTTAAAATCCAGAAATCTAATATTTAATGTAGCTTTCATCTGGTACACACAGGTAATCACAAAGACCTCTCTACTCTAACTACCAAATAGCCCTGAAATATGTTCTTACCTTGTCATCCTCACTGCCACAACCTCAAAATTTATTTTTCTCAACTAACATCCAGCAATAAAATACACAGCAGTCCCCATGTCTCTAGACATGGTAATTTAGTGATGAGAGTATGAGCTTCAGATGGACAGATGAACCTGGATAGAAATCACAACCGTGATTGGGCATAGTGGCTCACAACTGTAATCCCAGCACTTTGGGAGGCTGAGGCAGAAGGATCACTTGAACCCAGGAGTTCACAACCAGCCTAGGCAACATAGTGAGATTCCAGCTTTACAACATTTTTTAAAAAAAATTAGCTGGGCATGGTGGTGTGCACCTGTAGTCCCAGCTACTCAAGAGGCTGAAGCGGGAGGATTGCTTGAACTCAGGAGATCGAGGTTGCAGCGAGCTATGAATGTACCACTGCACTCCAGCCTGAATGAGAGAGCAAGACCCTGTCTCAAAAAAAGTCATAAACTGCTCTTTACCAGTTGGACAACCTTGTGCAAGTGACTTTACCCTTACAAGATTTTATTTTTCTGTAAAATGGAGATAAATATCTTTTTTTTACAAAATTGTTCTAAATATTTAATGAGATTATTAAATAACACAGTTCCAAGAATATATTAAAGATTAATGACTACTAACCAACATGGAATCAATGTTTTCCTCAGCTTTACACATTTTAAACAGGCTTCTTCTACCTTTAGGCTCCTGATCCCCCTTTACTTACAGCATTTACTGTAGAAAACTTGCCAATTGTATACTCTTTTTCTGTTCCTTTGAAATGGCTGTAAATAGCCTCTTTCCAGTTTACAACCCAGAAAACGTCTGTCTCAAAGGGCTGGGAACCATCTCTTTGAAATGTAAACATGAAGAAAATAACACTTCTATCCTCCATCCTCTATAGGAGAGTAGTAGCTTAATTTCTGTGGGTATGCTGATTTGCTAACACAGATGGCCTAATCACAAGGAAAAGCATTTGCAAACTCAGGAACGACTCAATATGCTCAAAACATCCCATTGATTAATCTTCACCATAACTTCTTTTTCACTGGATCAACCAAGTGCCTCAAAACCTTCTCACCTTTTGCTTCTACTTAGTTGAACTTAGTCTCTCTCCCTATTGTAGTAGTCTCGAATAAAGCCTTTCTTACCTGTTTAACTTTGTCTAGTACATTTGTTACTTTGAAAGTCACCATGATTATTTATATCTAGGAGCTAGAATCACCTCTCTAATTCATGTTCTTTACTTGTCACCATTAGCCTCAGGCTTTCAAAACTAGAAGTATAGTATTTTTTATTTTCTATCACAAAACCCTTTAATAAGTATTCAGCACTTTCAAGACAAAATTCAAACTCTTTAACAGGGTAAACAAGATTCTTCAACATACACACAGCAATTTTTGAAACAGAAGACTGGTTTTTAAATATAATGTTGCATTTTATTATGTAAGTTATATGTAGGTACCAGAATATATTATTGGGTTTCCATGCCTGAGTGCATGAACTTGTGATGAAAATGATGAGTAATATTAGCTTCTGGAGAATGGATGATATGAGGTAGAAAAAGAGACAGGGCTAAAACAGAGCCAGGAAAGAAACAAAACCTGTTAGGTTACTGATCTAGTAAAGAAAAGATTTGTTGCATCTAGAGCAATCTGATCACTGCAGCCCTATAGCTAACATTTCTCCATGGGATCTAATGGTTTATAGGATCAGCATGATCTCCGTAATTTCAAATGAGATAAATTCTTTGAGAAATCACTCATAAATTTTAAAAATTCTCTCAAGTTTAGACATCACTTTGGGAGAAAAAGTACAAGGTTATCTGTCCCAATGTTTGGGGTACTTAAGCAAACTGAATGCTGATTCAAAACTAAATTTAGAAGTAAAGAAAAAAATAGTTAAAACCTCAGAGATTAAACCAGGAACAATTCTCACATTTCTGAGATTTTTTTTTTCCTAGGCATGATAGACAACATAAAGATAAGAAAATATTTTAACATATATAGGGAAAATATACAAAAATAAAAAATATTTTGCACATTATATGCATGAATATTTTGAAAATATATGTAAGTCTGGCCAGTTGTGGTGGCTCATGCCTCTAATCCCAGTACTTTGGGAGACCAAGGCAGGAGGATTGCTTGAAGCCCAGGAATTCTAGATCAGCCTGGACAACACAGTGAGACCTCATCTCTACAAAAAAATCAAAAAATTAGCCAGGCATGGTGGCACACACCTGTAGTCCCAGCTACTTGGGAGGCTAAAGCAGGAACCATTCTCACATTTCTGAGAGGATTGGTTATTATTATAACCGAGGTGGAAGGATCACTTGAGCCAGTGCAATCAGGGCTTCAATGAGCTGTGATCTCCCAGAGGAAGACCCTGTTTAAAAAAAAAAAAATGCATGTAAGTCTTATGGCTGTTATCAGAGATGTGTCTCTGTTAAACAGCTCTGTGAGGTTAAGTGTGTCTTTGGCTAAGATTCTCTGCTTGACCAAACTTTAGTCAGTCTCCTGAATGTTTTCCTAGGCCCATCTGTGCACTTTCTTATAAAATCCAGCTTTAGCAAGAATCCTGCTAAGTCAGTTTATCAAGAATAACCCCCTTCCTTTGATGTGTGATCACCCTCGATATGTGATCAGCTTCCTCAACTTCCACTATCTCCCAGATGATATTTAGTTACCCTAGCCTGTCTTCAGAAAAAATCCTGATAAGTCAGTTTAGTCAGAATTCCTTCTTACCTTTAATTTTTTATTCACTGACCCCTACCCTGACCTTTGTGGGCTATGAATTCACACTTGCCATGTTTTATTTGCAGTTGAGCTCAATCTCTCTTTCTCACTGCAAAATATCATTGAAGTGGTCCTTATACCTATCACAATGGTCCTGAATAAATTCTACCTTACCAGGCTTTAATGAGTATTATTGAATAATTTATTCTTTAGTATCTTCACAGAAGGAATGTGTGTGTTCCTGGCATTGTAGCTTTTGTCATGGAATATTTAAGAATATGGACACTATTGCTCAAATAATCCTTGATTTTCAATGACATGTGTGTTTTTATAGGGTAGAGCTTGAATCTTATTCATAGTTAAGAGTGCCTGGATGGGGACAGACTAGAAGAAAAGAAACTGGATCCCTTGGAAAAAGATTACGATAAAAAAAGAAAAAAAACGATCTGAAAAAAAGGTGCGGACTGAACACCTGGGACTGCTGGCAGCCAGGAGTCATTGTTGCAAGATTAGATCCTATATTAGTTTGCTATGGCTCCTCTAACAAAGTATCACAGACCAGGTGGTGTGAGACCACAGAAATTTAATCTTTCACACCTCTGGAGACTGTAAGTCTGAAACTGAGGTGTCAGCAAGGTTGGTTCCTTTGGAGAGTTCTGAGAGAGAATCTATTCCAGGGCTGTCTTCTAGTTTCTGATGACAGCTGGCAATCCTTCGGGTCCTTGGCTTGTAGATCCATCACTCCAATTTCTATCTCCATCATCACATGGCATCCTCCTTGTGTCTTCATGTGGCCATCTTCCTTCTGTGTATCTCTTCTCTTCTAATAACAAGACCAGTCATATTGATTAAGAACTGCCTATCCAACTCCAGTGTGAACTCATCTTAACTAATTACATCTGCAACCCTTTTCCAAATAACGTCATGTTCTAAGTTCTGGAGTATTAGGATTTCAACTTTTTTAAACGAGAGAACACTATCACAATTAAACACACAAAATATTTCCTTCCCAAAGAGCAAATGTACTCTAAAGAAGGGACTACATTATAAAAGGAAAACTTTCCTTACATGGCTAAGACCTTGAAAATTCAGCTGAAAAAGAGAAAATAAAATCCTCTAAAGACATCGATCACTTGGCTGGGCATGCTGTTTACACCTGGAATCCCAACACTTTGGGAGGCCGAGTTAAGAGGATTGCTTGAGCCCAGGAGTTTGAGACCAGCCTGGGCAACATGTTGTCTTTATAATATCCAAAAATTAGACAGTGTGGTGGCACATGACTGTAGTCCCAGCTACTTGGGAAGCTGGGGTAAGAGGATTGCTTGAACCCAGGAGGCAGAGGTTGCAATGAGCTGAGATCACACCGTGGTACTCCAGCCTGGGCAACAAAGCCAAACCCTGTCTCAAACCAAACCAAACCAAACCAAACCAAACCAAACCAAACCAAACAAACAAACAAAAAAAAACACTGATCAAAAGAGTGGAAGTATTTTCCTATTGATTTTGGCTGGAGATTAGCACCAGAGTTGGTGGTCTTGAGAAAGTGCCATTCGTGGTACTAATGTTTACCCTGAAAATGAAAGGTGGGGTGCAGCTGTCCACGTGAACAAATTGTCTGGAAGAATGATAGCAATAAGTGGAGCACAAAGGCACCTGGAAGAAACAGTTGAGAAGAGGGTCACACTATAGCTTTTATTCACTGTCTTTAATGAAGATCCTATTTCTCTAACTATCCTATTTCTATTTCTGTTTTAAAAATTTATATGTTAGTCATCTTTTCTTAATCCACTCTATCTCTGATGGCTGTCTTTTGATCTTATCTTCTTATCTTTACATTTTTGACTATTCTTTCCCTAAAGGCATCCCAGGGTAAAGAACAAACATTAGCACGATCAATATTTGGTAAATAGATAATTTTATATATGTAAAATATTTTGTTGTTGTTGTACTCATCAATCATTGTTGAAAGATTAAAAATACACCTGGACGTTATCCGTCTGACACATGAATGAATTGTCCTTGCCTATATGGTTCACTTAAGTGATGGCCAAATTCCCTTTATATATCTAGAGAAGATTGATGAACTCACCAATTAATGAACCCCTTTCTTCTGTATCTAAGCGTATTTTAAATGTTCATAATACACCTATCTATTTGAAGAAAGTTTCTCTTTTACCTCTTGTGCTTAGTTCTTGGGCTTTCTAAATACATTTTAAACATATAAAAAGCTGAAACTCTTAGTTTGGAGCATCTAAATCTCACTCTGTCTCTACTACTTTGCTACATTTTAATGATGTGGTCTGTGTTTCCCAGCATTCAGTATGCCACCATCAGCTCTCACTGCTCTGGTTTATTTGTTTTTGGATTCCGTGGTCTCTGTATGAATTTGTATAGAGAGTACTCAAGGATACTTGAGGAGAACAGCACTTTGTCCACCTCACAGAGGAACATCCTTGCAGGAGAGATACATACACCGTGTTTTCTGTTTAGAAGGATCTTGCATTTCTGATCATGGGGAAAAGAGTGCAGAAGGGACAACATGTCTTAAAACATCTTGGCTTTTGTAGACCAGGCCATGCTCTTTCCTATGCCACACAAATTGAGTTTCTTAATAACAATTTATCGTCTTTCAGTTAGTGAAAATATTACTCAGTTTCTAGCAATACACTGATAACTTCACATTTTTCTGTTTTTTTTTTGTTGTTGTTGTTCAGAGTTATTATACATAAAGTAGGGAAAGACTGCTTCAGAAATTACTATCCAGTTGCATGTTCCCCTTTATCATTTTGTTTTTCCCTGAGTAAACATACTTTAGTTCTCTGGAAATATGAAGCAAATAAATAGTGTGTGTTTGTATATATGTGTGTGTGTATGTGTGTGTGTGTGTACAGATACATGAAGCACTTGGTAGGAAGATAAAATTTCTCAAGAGAAATAATAAATTCAATTAAATCAACTTCAAAACAGTAGTCCCAAGAATATATTTAAATTAAGCGTGTAGTAAATTATTTTTACACACATAAATTTAAAAAGAAACAAATCTAGGCTAAGTGTGGTGGCTCATGCTTGTAATCTCAGCACTTTGGGAGGCCAAGGTGGGAGGATCACTTGAGACCACAGGTGTTCAAGACCTGCCTGGCCAACACAGACCCCATCTCTACAAAAAATAATAATAAAAAAAGTAGCTGGGCATGTAGTCCCAACTACTCAGGAGGCTGAAGTGGGAGGATCATTTTAGCCTGGCAGGTTGATATTGCAGTGAGCAGTAATCACACCAGTGCACTTTAGCCTGGGCAATAGAGTAAGACCGTGTCTCAAAAACAGAAAGGAAAGGAAGGGAAGGGAAGGGAAGGGAAGGGAAGGGAAGGGAAAAAGGGAAGGGAGGGGAGGGGAGGGGAGGGAAGGGAAGGGAAGGGAAAATCCAGTGAAAAATAAGATTTCCAGGGAGCAGGAGGAGACTAAGAAGTCATGAGGAGCAGGCTTTTCACCAGAATAAGTCACTTTATTAGGGGAGGTTATGTTTTGGCAACACTCATAAAGTATTTTGACAAAACACAAAGTCAGTTTACACAGATACCATTATGGTGAGAGAAACAAAACCTTTTTTTTGAATCTGAAAAAAATGACTTAGTAAATTTGTTTCTAGAGGCACTGGAATAGTCAAAATCCTAGCTAAAAAAACTCAGGATTTTGACATTTGGGTTTCTCCTCCATTGAAATCTCCCATTGTAAAATAAGAGAAAATTGATCTTACAGTAAAAGACATTTTCATATATTCACATATTGCTGTATATTTTTAAATGTGTAGAAATTTACATGAAGTATAACGAGGACTTTAGTGGAAACTGCAGCTGTACATGAAATGTAATGATAACATTAACATAAAAGTGGTATTATATTTACTAGAATTTGGGGTATTTATTGCTACACCAGATCTCTTCAAACATACTTGTAAGATTAATTTTTTTCTAATCAGAAATGACAAGATAAAGAATCCAATATATTTCCTATGTCAATGACCTCTCTGAAAACTAAAGGCAAATTTTGCCATAATGTATCCATTCTGTTTTTTTAACAACTACTTCTCTGATTCTTTTAATATATTTTATTCCTCCTACTTAGTATACATTGTTCATTTCCATGTGCATTTATTTTTACAAGAATATAACTATTTTTAAACATAGTGTCAAAAACCTCACAGTAGCTGCAATTTAACCACATACCTCCCAAACCTTTGTCAGGCCCCAAGAATTATTTTTAAATACTTATAGTCACTTAGGCCATTGGAGATCAGAGGGTGAATTCAATCATATCATCCTAAAAAAATAAAACAGTAACCATGTGAAGCAAATATTATCTATGCCACTGTGCAAATAAAACAAATCATTTGATTAAGAAGATACAGCTCATAATTAATAGCAACTATATGTTAAAGCTCATTTTCTGAATTCTAAAATAATAATTGTTAAACCAGACTATTGCCCTTCAAATTGCCTGCTTTTCTTCTTTATTTTATTTATTATCACTGACAGGGTGCGGGCTATGCTACCCGAAATAAGATAACTTGGAGGTCACTCCCTGACTTTTTCTACCTTTCTCTGTGAGGGCTGTCCTCTGTAAGTAGGTCAAAAGACCGTCATGGGACAGGTGTCCCGCTCCGTACACAGGGGGAAGGAATGTCACACAGTCACACAGAGAAGAATCTAACACATAAAGCTTGCTGCATTCTCTCCTAGTTTATTATCGTTAGGTCATACCCCTTCTGTATGTTCATGTTTCTTTACAACCATTTACTTCTTTCATCAGACTTCACATAAAAATACACAATTTTCTCTGGGTCCTCATTTCTAAAGGCTCTCATGTTACGTCAAACTTTGGTTAATTAAATTTGCTATGTTTTTCTCTTGTTAATTTTTTTTTCATAGGAGTGTTGGCCATGAACTTTGTGATGGATGAGGAAAGATTTTACTTTATCTGTTCTACATTGCCTAGGATTTTGGTTAACCTTATAATCCTTTGGTAAGCTGAGGACAGCTAGCTCCTAGAAAAGTGGATTTAAAAAAATGACACCTTCAGCAGAGAGACAAGTCTAGACTAGATCTTGCAGGAGGTGCAGCTAACAGCAGCAAAAACCTGTGGTTTGGAGCAGAATGGAAAAAAAATCACCAAAACAAAATCATGATAGTTAGAGGATTCCAACAAAGATCAAAGGTAGGGAAAAATTGGAGATTACTCTTCCAGGTCGTAAAGATGAATACAAACTTTGTCAGGTATTTGCTGGAATTTTTAGGAAACAAATTTCAATTAAGTGGAGAGTGTTTGGCCACATCTTATTGCCCTTATGATGCTGGCCTCTCTCCTATACCCCATACCACAAGTTTTCTATTTTACAGAAATAGAGTAATTAAAGAATTGCCATTTGAACACAGGGAAGAGACGGGATCTTTATCAGTAGCTGACTTCTTTGTTTTATCTAAAACATTAATTCAGCATGCCAGTGATTGTTGGGAGTAAAAAATGTAAACATTCTGGAAGTGGAAAGTATCAAGAAATCTCAAATGTAGTTCTCCCTGAAGTGAAACCAAAACAGTAATGTAAGGTAGACTATTGCGTTGTCAGTGACAATGGAACAGTCAGGAATACAATGACTCTGATCCTCAGTCTACTATTTCAGGGGTACAACTACATCAAAGAAGCTTTTCAAAGCAGCCTTGTAGCCCTAATTTGTCAAATGGAAAATCCTTTATAGGTGCCTTAGAGAGCATCTGGGTATTTCAGTATGATAACACATTCTTTTGTATTATTTCAAGTAATAGTAAAAATAAACCAGCAAACAAATAAAACCCATGCTATTTCTACTTTCTCAGTCTTTGTACTAGATTCTAACAGTAAAACAATGAAAAGACAATGGGTCTTTTCAGGATGATACCATTCAAATCAACAATTTAATGTTTAATTTTAGATATATATTTGTAGTAAACTACAATAAAAGCAACGGAATGATAAATATAATATTGGAATTAAGCTTGGAAGTCAGGTAGGTATATTCTTCAGTAAGGGGTGTGTGGAAGCTTTACTATATTGACAATGTTCTATCCCTTACATTAATGCTGACTTAGTGTTCACCTTCTTATACTGCGTATCTTGTAGAACTATATACATTTACTTAGATGTAAGAAATATTTCAGAAACTTTAAGAATTATCCTGCAAAAACACATGATAGACAAACAGATCAATGGAACAGAACACAGTCCAGAAATAGAACTACATAAATATATTTTGTGGGCCGGGTACAGTGGCTCATGCCTGTAATCCCAGCACTTTGGGAGGTCGAGGTGGGTGGATCACCTGAGGTCAGGAGTTCGGGACCAGCCTGGCCAACATGGTGAAACTCTGTCTCTACTAAAAATACAAAAATATCACTTGGGCATGGTGGCAAGTGCCTGTAATCCAAGCTACTTGGGAGGCTGAGGCAGGAGAATTGCTTGAACCTGGGAGATAGAGGTCGCAGTGAGCCGAGATCATGCCATTGCACTCCAGCCTGGATGACAGAGCGAGACTCTGTGTCAAAAAAAAAATAATAAATAAATAAATGAAAATAAATTTAAATAAATAAATAAATTTTGTGACTTTGTTCCTTGACAAAGACACAAAAACAATACAATGGAGAAAATATAGATCTTTTAACAGATAGTGCTAAAACACTTTGATATCCACATGGAAAAGAAACAAAACAAAAGAAAAACTAAAAGAATCTAGACACAGAACCTACATCCTTCACAAAATTTAGCTTAAAGTAGATCATAGACCTAAAGGTAAAATACAAAACTCAAACTCCTAGAAGATAACATATAGAAGAAAATGCAGATGACTTTGGGTTTGATGATGACTTTTAAAATACAAGACAAAAGGCATAATACATGAAAGAAACAAATAACACATTGGACTTCATTACAATTAAAAACTTCTGAGCCTGGGAGTGGTGGCTCATGACTATAATCCCAACACTTTGGAAGGCCAAGATAGGAGAATTGCTTGAGCCCCGTAGTTTGAGACCAGCCTGGACAATATGGTGGGATACTGTCTCTACAAAAAAAAGTTAAATAATTAGGTGGTCTTGGTGGTTCTCACTTGCAGCCCTAGCTATTTGAGAGGCTGAGGCAGAAGGCTCACTTGAGCCTAGGAATTTGAGGCTGCAGTGAGCCGTGATTGCACCACTGCATTCCAGCCTGGGCAACAGAGTGAGACTCTCGTCTCAAAAAGACAAAAACAAAAAACAAAAAAAAACTTGAGTGATATCGGCAATATGGCAGACTAAGAAGTCATAGACCCTCTTTCTGCCTCAGAGACATTTAGTTAACAACAATATATAAACTAGAGCAGCTCTGTGAGAGTACCTTGGCCATTGTAAAACCAAGAATGGATCCCAGAGAAAGGGGTAAAAAATGTGTGGTGCTTGTCGCACTCATTCAAACAACTCCTCTGATGTGATATAGTATAGAGCAACTGGGAGGAAGCCCTCCACACAGAGATCCTCTCTTGGAACGGAGATAAAGAAGTGGACTGTGTGTCCAACATTTTGGCTTGTCTGGGAGATACCCTAGGGACTCATTGCTGTCTTGCTTGACTTAAAGCACTAACAGATAAATGGCAAAGTTTGGAACCTGCTGAATAACAGGCAAGCACCATTGCATGTTAGACCTGCAGTTCTAAAGACCAATATCAGTGACAGCAAGAGATTATAAAAGGTTTGAGAGGTCCTAGAACCTCCAGCCTGGCTAATTGATGAAGACTTTTCTCTGCCTAAAGCCAGTTACACAAAGATTGTGAGAGGTGGTAGTTTTTGTTAAATGCCCAAGTTCTGGCAAAAGTTACAAGGCATATTAAAAAACTAGAAAACATGGTCAAATCAAAGAAACCCAAAACTCCAGAAATTAAGACTAAATAAATGCAATTTGTGAGCTGTCTGAAAAAGAATCTAAAATAACTCTTATAAAGATATTCAGTGAACTAAAAGACATAATAAACTGGATGAAATCAGAAAAACATGCATGAACAAAAGGAAAATATCAACAGAGAGATGGAAAGCATAAAAAATAATAAAATAGGAATTCCACATTTGAAAATATCGTAAGTACACTGAAGAAATTATTAGCGGGTCTCAACAGCTGACTTAATAAGGCTGAAGAAAGAATAAGCAAAACTTGATAATAACTTATTTGAAATCATTGAATAAAAAGGTAAAAAAAAATGAAGAACAGCAAAGAGAATCCAAGGGACTTTTGGACATTCAAGAAGTCTAATATGCACATTATAAAAATCCCAGAAGAAGCATAGAGAAAGAGGAGGGCAGCTTATTTAAGAAAATAATGGCCAAAAACTTCCCAGATTTGAGGAAAGCAGAGGCTATATAGGTTCAAGAATCTCAAAGAACTCCAACTAGAAAAAGTCCACATTGAACTACGCATAGACACATCATAATCAAACTGTCTAAAGTCAAAGACAGAGAGAATCTTGACAGCAGCAGGAGAAAAGCAATTCATTATCTACAAGGGGGCTTCCATAAATATCAGCACATTTCTCAGCAGAAGCTATATGGACCATAAGGGAGTGGGATAACATATTCAGCATGTTGAAATACTGTATGCAGCAAAACTGTTTTTTGAAAATAAAAAAGAAATAAAGACTCTCCTAGATGAATCAAAATTGCAGAATTACATTACAAGTAGACCTCTTTAATGGAAATGCTAAAAGGCATCCTTTAAGTTGAAATGAAAGGGTGTCAGACAGCAATACAAAGCTACACAAAAAATATAACAAATATATTTGTTACACATAAAGGTAAATATGAGGACAAAAATGGTAGCTTGTGCTATTGTAATTATGGTGCAAATAGCCAGAACAGTTTTGTAAAAAAAGATCAAATTTGGAGGAGTCACACTTCCTTTTTAAAAACGTACCACAAAGCCACATAATTAAGACAGCATGGTACTGACATAAAGAAAGAAAAATAAACCAGGGAAAGAAAATGGAAAGCCTAGGAATAAATATGTATATGGTTAATATGGTTTGGATCTGTGTTGCCACCCAAATCTCATGTCAAATTGTAATCTCCAATGTTGTAGGTGGGGTCTGGTGGGTGGCGATTGGATTGTGGGGGTGGATTTCCCCATTGGTTCTGGTCCCCTCATAGTGATTGAGTTCTCCTGTGATCTGGTTGTTTAAAAGTGTGTAGCACCTCCCCACTTTCTTTTTCCTGCTCCTGCCATGTAAGACATGCCTGCTTTCCTTTCACTTTCTGACATGATTGAAAGTTTCCTTGAGGACTCCTCAGAAACCTAACAGATGCCAGCATCATGCTTCCTGTACAGCCTGTGGAACTGTGAGCCAACTAAACCTCCTTTTTAATGAATTACCCAGCCTCAGATATTTCTTCATTAAACCTCCTTTCTTATGAATTACCCAGTCTCAGGTATTTCTTTATAGCAGTGTGAGAATGGACTAATACCATGGTCAAACGATGTTTGACAAGCGAGTCAAAACTACTCAATGATAAAAAGACAATGTCTTTAATAAACGGTGTTGGGAAAATAGGATGTCAACATGCAAAAGCATGAAGTTAGACCCTTATATAACACCATACGCAAAACTAATTCAAAATGAATTAAAGTCTTTCATGTAAGGCATAAAATGAGAGAATTCCTGGCAGACAACATAGCAGAAAAACTTCACAACATTAAATTTGGCATAAATTCTTGAATATAATACCAAAAGCACAGTCAAGAAAAGTGAAAATAGACAAATGGGATTACATAAAACTTAAATAAAAATGGTTTGTGCTCAAAGGACTCAAAAGACTGAAGAGACAACCTATAGAATGAAAGAAAAATTTACAAATCATGTATTTGATAGGAGAGTAACATCCAGAATATTTAAAGACTCTCACAACTCAACAACAAAACATCAAATAACACAACTTAAAAATGGGCAAATGACTTGAATAGACATTTCTCCAAGATGATATATTAGTGGCCAAGAAACATATGAAAAGATGTTCAACATCACTAATTATCCAAGAAAAGCAAGTCAAAACCAAAATGAGAAAGTCATCTCACAACCATTATAATAGCTACTACTAACAACAATAAAAAAACTTAAAAGCAAAAAACTAGTAAAACCAATAAAACAAAACAAAATCAACACACACACACACACACGCACACACACACACACAGAAAACAAGTGTTGGTAAGGATATGAAGAAATTGGGACCCTGTACACCACTGATGGAATTGTAAAATGATTCAACTCATATGAAAAATGGTATGGAATTTCCTTAAAAAATTAAAAATAAATAAGCATGTGATCCAGCACTCTTACTTCTAAGTATATATACAAAAGAATGGAAAACGTGGTCTCTTAGAGATATCTGCACATTCTTTTTTACAGCAGCACTATTCATTATAGCCAAGAGATGGAAGCAACCCAAATGTTTATTGATGAATGACTAGATTAACAAAATGTGGTCTATGCATACAATGGAATATTGTTCAGCCTTTAAAATAAAGGAAATTCTGTCATATGCTAAAACATAGGCAAACCTTGAGAAGATTATTCTAAGTAACATAAGCCAATCCACAAAGAAATATACTGAATAATTCCACTAATATGAGGCATACAAAGTAGTCATATTCTTAGAAAGCAAAATGTTGATTAGCAAGAAATGAAGGAGAGGGAAAGGAGAGTTGTTGTTTAATGGGTACAGAGGTTCATAATGCAAGATAAACAGTTCTAAAAATCTGTTTCACAACAATGTGAATATACTTAACACTCCTGACCTATATACTTAAGAATGGTTAAGATGGTAAATTTTATGTTACATGTTTTCTTTTTTACCATAATAAAAAAAATCTAAAACTACTGCTCTGTGAAACATACTGTTAAGAGAATGAGAACACAATCAAGAGACTGGGAGAAAATATTTCCAAACTGCATATCTGATAAAGAACTGCTATCCAAAATACATAAACAACTCTTAAAACTCAATAATTAAAAAAAACTGATTAAATCCTGGGCAAAAAATGAAAAGATACTTCACCAAAGAAGATACACAGATGGTAAATAAGTGTATGAAAATCTACTTAACATATCATTAGGAAACTGAAAATTAAAACAGCAATGAGATACCACTACACACCAGTTAGAATGGTGATAATTCAAACACTGACAATACCAAATGCTGGTGTGGATGTGGAGTATGTGGAGTAACAGAAACTCCCATTCATTACTGGTGAAATTAAAAATACTACAACTGCTTTGAAAGACAGTTTGGCAGTTTTTTTTTTTTTTTTTTACAAAGCTAAACACATACTCAACATATAATTCAGCAATTATGCTCCCTGACATTTACTGAAGTGAGTTGAAAACTTATGTCAACACATAAACCTGCACATGGATGTTTATAGCAGCTTTATTCATAATTGCCACAAGTTGGAAACAACCAGCATGCCCAACTGGTGAATGAATAAACAAACTGTGATACATCCCTGCAATGTAATACTATTGAGCACTAACAATAAGTGAGCTAGCCCACCATTAAAAGACATAGAGGAACCTTAAGTTCATATTATGTTAAAGAAGCCAGTCTGAAAAGGCCACATGCTGTATGATTCCAGCTACAGGCATATTTTGAAGATATTGTGGGTTCAGTTCTATCTCAATAAAGGGAGCCATAAGTTTTTAGTTTTACAGTGGATATAAAAGTTATCTTTATACTATACTGTAGTCTGTTAGTGTGCAATAGAATTATGTCTAAAAATATATATACATACCTTATTGAAAATATTTTAGTGAACAATCATTTAAGCTATCAGCAAACAGCAATTTTTTTGGTGCTGGAAAGTCTTATCTTGATAAGAAAACGAAAACATAAACAAGAAACTGAGAGAAAATATTTGACACATATTGATGGCTGTTGACTGATCAGGATGGTGGTAGCTAAAGCAACAGGGGGCTGTGTCAATTTCTTAAAATGAGACAACAGTGAAGTTTGCTGCATTGATTGACACTTTCTTTTACAGAAGACTTCTCTGTAGCATGCGATGCTGTTTGAGTAGAACTTCTTTCAAACTTTATGAGAGTTAGCCTGCTCTTTGAAGCTTTGAAGCCAGTTATTGACTTCTCTCTAGCTATGAAATCCTTGATAATTGAATTCAATTCTCTCAAACTCTCCCTCTGCTTTATCAACTAAGTCTATATAATTTTCTAAATCCTTTGTTGTAATTCCAATGATGTTCACAGCATCTTCATCAGCAGTAGATTCCATTTCAAGAAGCCATTTTCTTTGCTTATCAATGAGAAGCAACTTCTCATCCCTTCAAGTTTTATCAAGAGGTTGCAGCAATTCAGTCACATCTTCAGGCTCCACTTCCAATTCTAGTTCTTTTGCTATTTCTATTAAATCTGCAGTTACTTTCTCCACTGAATTCTTCAACTCCTCAAACTCCTCCATGAGTTTTGCAATCTACTTCTTCCAAACTCCTGTTAATGTTGCTATTTTGACCTACTTCTGTTAATCACAAATGTTCTAAGTGGCATTTAGAATGGTGAATCCTTTCCACAAAGTTTTAAATTTACTTTTCTCAGATCCATCAGAGGAATCTCTATGACAGCTAGAGCCTTACAAAATGTATTTCTTAAGTAATAAGACTTGAAAGTCAAAATTACTCCTTGATCTATGGGCAGCAAAATAGAGGTTGTATTAGCAGGCATGAAAACAACATTAATCTCCTTGTTCATCTCCATCAGAGCTCTAGGGTGACTAGGTTCATTGTTAGTGAGCAGTACTACTTTGAAAGGAATATTTTTTTCTGAGCAGCAGGTCTTAACACTGGTCTTAACATATTCAGTAAATAATGCTATAAACACATGTGCATAGTTTTTAAGGTCCCTAGGAGTTTTGGAAAGGTCAATGAGTATTGACTTCATCCTAAAGTCACCAGCTACGTTAGCCCCTAACAAGAGAGTCAGCCTGAACTTTGAAGCTTTGAAGCCAAGTATTGACTTCCCTCTAGCCATGAAATCCTTGATGACATCTTCTTCCCATAGAAGGCTGGTAGGTCTACATTAAAAATTTGTTGTTTAGGGTAGCCACCTTTATCATTTATCTTAGCTAGACCTTTTGGATAATTTGTTGCAGCTTCTACATCTGCACTTGCTGCATCACTTTGCACTTTCATGTTATAGAGATGACTTCTCTTCTCAAACCTCATGAATCAACGTCTGCTAGCTTCCAACTTTCCTTCTGCAGCTTCCTCACCTCTCTCAGCCTTCATAGAATTGAAGGGAGTTAGGGCCTTGATCCACATTAGGCTTTAGCTTAAAGTAATATTGTGGCTGGTTTTATCTTCTATTCAGACCACTCAAACTTTCTCCACATTAGCAATAAGACTGTTCTGTTTTCTTATCACTCAGTGTTCACTGGAGTAGCAATTTTAATTTTTTTCAAGAACTTTTTCTTTTCTTCACAATCACAACATGGCTATTTGATATAAAAGGCCTAGCTTTTGGCTCATATCAGGTTTCAACATTTTTTTCTAAGCTTAACAATTTCTAGATTTTGATTTAAAGTGAAAAAGATATATGACTCTTTCTTTCACTTGAATACTCAGAGACCTATAAGGTTATTAATTAAATGAATTTCAATATTGTGTCTCAGAGAATAGGCAGGATCCAGGAGAGGGAGACAGATGGAGGAGTGGCCAGTTGGCAGAGCAGTCAGAACACAAATAATACATATAGAATAAGTTTGCTATCTTGTATGGGCACAATTCATGGTGCTCCAAAAACAATCACAATACTAATATCAAAGATCAAAGATCATAAATTACCATAACAGATATAATAATATGAAAATGTATGAAATATTGTGAGAATTACCAAAAGTGATACGGGAACATTAAATGAGCCATAATGTTGGGAAAACAGTGCTGACAGAGTTGCTTAGTGCAGGGTTGCCACAAACCTCGAATTTATGAAAAGTGCAGTCCGTGAAGTGCAATAACGTAAATGCAATAAAACTAGTTGTGTCGATACATGACATTTTGTGAAAGACAAAACTATGAAGACAGTAAAAAGATCAGTTGTTGCCAGGGGTCTAGGGGGAAAGAAGAATGAATAGGCAGAGTATAGCGAAATTTTAGGGCAGTGAAATTATTCTTTATAATTTATTTATTTATTTATTTTGAGATGGAGTTTGTTCTTGCTGCCCAGGCTGGAGTGCAATGGTGCAATCTCTGCTCACTGCAATCACTGCCTCCTGGGTTCAAGAGATTCTCCTGCTTCAGCCTCCCATGTAGCTGGGATTACAGGCATGCACCACCACGCCCAGCTAAATTTGTGTATTTAGTAGAGATGGGATTTCCCATGTTGGTCAGGCTGGTCTAGAACTCGTGACCTCAGGTGATCCACCCACCTTGGCCTCCCAAAGTGCTGGGATTACAGGCATGAGCCACCACACCCTGGCTATTCTTTATCATATTATAATGTTAAATATAATTTATTATACATTTGTTGAAACCCATAGAATGTACAACACCAAGAGTAAGTCCTAATGTAAACAATCAACTTGGGATGATAATGATGTGTCAATGAAGGTTCATCAATTGTAACAAATGTACCACTCTTTGCTGGGGCAGGGTGGTGTTGGGGGGAGGTGCAGCAGTGTGTTGATTATGGGAAGGCTGTCTGTGTATGTAGGCTGGGGGCATGTGGAAACTGCCTATACTTTCCACTCAATTTTGTTGTGAACCTAATAGCACCTTACAAAATAAAGCCTAATTTAGAAAATGTTAAGACATAAATGTTTTTTATAAAATATTGTACAATATATTTAGAAATAAAGGCACAGAAACCATCAATTATGTTAACATATATTTTAGTGCTGCTGTTGATAAAAGTAATTGGGTTTAATGTGTTCAAGAGATGATTTCACTCTGATTCTGACATTTTGCATTTTTAAAAGGAATAGAGGAGAAAGCATGCAATAGAGAATAGCATAAGGAAGACAAAGGAAGAATATGCATTTCATAAGTTTAGGGTAGCTATTTGTTAGGAATATAAAAGCAAGCTGTAAGTGTAAGAGCCTGAAAAAAAAAAACCTGGGGAAATAGGAGAGTAAGGAGACAAGTGAATGAATTTGAAAAATGGCCATCACTATTCAACACAAGATGTTGGGCAATTCATTGTATGACTCTGAAACTATCTGTAAAATCAAAGGGCAAGTGAAGAGATGGGAAGATTAGATGATTCGTTCAGTCTTAAAACTGAGTTTACTCAAACTCTGTCCTCATGATACACAGGGAGAAAAAAATTCATTAAATAAGTTCATGCCACTTTTTTTATTCACCAGCCAAATCTGGGTGACAAGTGGATGCTTCCCAAATAACGTAAATTAATGAGTGAGAAGGATCTGTGCTTCTGCCTCAGCCACTTCTCAGAGAGGCATCATAGTTTACTTTAACAGTTGGTTTGGGTAACAACAGTTTACTGTCAGTTATTACTGCATAACTCTAAGGGTGATCATGCAGAGTTTAATTTTTCAGTAGTTTTTGGCATTAATATTTTATTATAAGGTTCTGAGAGGTAGGTTAGCATGGCAGACCCTTACTGAGTAATTAATGACCTGCTGGTTCCTGCAGGAGGTGAGCCATATGGTGAGGGAAAAGACCCATGGAGGAGTGAAGAGGTGAGGAGTTTAAATAAGAGGAGAGTCTATCTTCATATGAAAACACAGACATGCAGAGCTTATCAGCTTTAAGGGATGGAGGAACAGGAATAAATAGAAGATCATAAATGTGCCATGCAAAACGGTCATTGGGATAATTTTGTTGTAAGGAAAGTAGCATAAGACATGAGTAGTAGATACACTTGTCTGCTGTTCTTAAAAATACAATAAAAATGACGCTAATTTTCTTGAGACTTGCTGTATGTTAGACACTAGAATAAATACTTTTCTTATACTTTATCCTATTTTACTCTTATAACAATCCTTTGAAGTATGTGCTACTATAGTTCACCATTTTAAAGATGATGAAATATGGTTGAGCAAGTATTAATAATTTACCTAAAATCACACAACTTGTAAATAGGAGAAAAAGATTTGCACACAGGTGGTCTCTCAAAAATTATCCTTCTTATGTTACCCAATTTTGTGGATGCGTTCTCTCTTAGCTCGCTGTTTCGGTGTTTAAGTCTAAAATCAGCCAGAGCAACAGCTGACTATGCAAGGAAGAGATCAGAAGCCAGGCTGTTTTCCCCCAGTGTTTAACACTTGCTCATTTATATCTTCTGGAATTAATGAGATGGAAGGATG